>NC_000009.12:65375123-65595191 GCF_000001405.40 Homo sapiens
GAATTCACCCCCAAAATGAAGTGCTCCATTGACTCAGGAGCCTAATGCTGTATACCAGACTTACCAAAGACCTGACTGGATGTGTAACTGACTTTGGGTTTACGTCTTTTATGAGATCTTTGGTACCATTCATAGGAGTTATTGCTCATAAAAAAATGAAAATAAACCTGTCCCAAACCATGGCAAATATTGCCTCCTCCATTGCCACTGTCTTAGAAGCCAAGGAAACATCTCCCAGATCCACCCAGAAAGTTATTTTAAACAACAGAATTGTTCCAGACTCTTTTTGTTTGAGATGGAGTTTCGCTCTCGTTGCCCATGCTGGAGTGCAGTGGTATGATCTCAGCTCACTGCAACCTCTGCCTCCCAGGTCTAAGTGATTCTCTTGCCTCAGACTCCAGAGTAGCTGGGATTATAGGTGTGCACCACCACTCCTGGCTAATTTTGTATTTTTTTTTTTTTTTGTAGAGACAGGGTTTCTGCATGTTTGTCTGGCTGGTCTCGAACTCCTGACCTCAGGTGATCCACCTATCTTGGCCTCCCAAAGTGCTGGGATTACAGGCATGAGTCACCGCACTCGGCCCTGCAGACTTTCTTTTAGCTCAACTGGGAGAAGTGTATACAATTGCCAGCACCTCTTACTGTATTGGGATAAACATCTTAGGTATTGTAGAAACATAGGTAGAGGAGATCCAGAAGCTGACCCATTGGTTGTAGACAGTGGGGCCACCTGAAGAATCCTTCTTTAACCTCTATGGCAACCTCTTACCTAGATCTTTGAGACCCAGGGCTAGATTACTACTGCAGAGAGGTCTGGCTGTGCTGCTAGTGGTAGTAGTCCTCCTGGGACTAGTAAAATGTATTCTGGCTATGACTCAATGATGTTTCACTGAGACAGAGTCAGCCAAGGTGTTACATTGATCTGACAAGACAAACCTCCACCTCCAGATCTGGAGAGGTCAATGGGCATATGAAATACACCAGCTTTTCTAAGGGAAATATCTTGGTTGGAGCAGGAGACTGCAGGTCAACTTTCCAGGTGTCCTTGGACTGACCCAATTATCCCCTCTTTCTTGCTTGCAGTTGTCAAGAGCAACTGTAGTATATGCTGAGAATGCAATATCCTGAGACAGGGAAGAACTGCCTGAAACAGCCTAGGCCTTGTTACTCTCTCCCTTGACAGAGAATGTTCTTCAAAACTTTAGGCCATAGTTTCCCATTGGTCCTGAGGTGTGTAACCTAGGGCAAGCTGTCTTGTGGGGTCCCTCAACTGTGGTACAAGTGGGCCATGCACAATCACTCCATCCACTTCAGGCACTTCACATGCATTCCATCCACTTCAGGCAACTTTGTTGAGCCTTGGGCTACTGGCTCGTAATGGATCGGCTCACATAGGTACCTGTTGTCTCTTGCTCTTTGTCTGTAAATGATACATCTGCTTTATGTAATTTGTTGCATATGAGTGTGTTCTGTTTAACTGAACTCAGACAAGCTAGTAAATAGTACACAGTGTACCTGCCCCACACCCAGGATGTACATGCTAAAGCTAAACAGTGTGACTGCCTGCCAAAAGGAACAGTTTAAATAGAGCTCAGAATTGTCTGCCATGATAGACAAATGTCCAGAATATAATTACAAATCACCGATCATACAAAGAACCAAGAAAATAACAATATGAGTGAAAAAAGACAGTTAACTGACACCAACACCAAAACGCATCAGATGTTGGAATCATCTGAATATGATTTTAAAATATCTAGCAAAAATGTTTCAACATCAAATAGAAATTATCTTAAAATATATAACAAAATCGCAAAATATTAACCAAACTTGATTTGTAAAAAAAAAACAACAAAAAAGAACAAAATGTAAATTATAAAAGCAAACAAACACGGTAACAGAAATGAAAAATGTGTTGGATGGAGTCAATAGTGCCATTGAGATGCGAGAAGGTAAAATCAGTGAATGTGAGGGCAGAATAGTAGAATTTAACCAATTTGAACAACATAAATAAAATAGACTGATACATAAAATGAACAGAGATGTAGGTATGTGTGAGGCAACAACAAAAGATCCAACATTTTTATTACGTGTACCAGAAAAAAAGTAAAATGAGGCTGAAAGAATACTTGAAGAAATAGTGCTTCAAAAAAACCTCAAATTTGCAGAAGACACAAATGTATAGATTCAAGAAGCCTAAGATACCCTACACGGAATAAACACATTTCAAGAAATATTTTGATTAAACTTTTAAAAACTAAAGACAAAATATTTTTATTTGGTAGTTTAGAAACATAAATCTACCACTTTAAAATTATAGAGGTCAGAAATCTTAAATGGTTTTCATTAGGCTAAAATCAAGGTGTCAGCAGCACCGCTTTCCTTCTGGGGACTCTAAAGGAGAATACATGTTCTTGCCTTTTCCAGCTTCTAGGGGCTGTCTTCATTTCTTGTCTCTTGTCCACTTTCCCCATTCCTTGTCTCTTGGTTCTTTCCTCCAGTACAATTAGCAGTGTAGTATCTTTAAATATTTTCTACCACACTCTTCCACATTTAAAGGATTCTTGTGATTAAATTGCCCCCCCCCAGATAATCAAGTATGATCTCTTATTTTAAGTTCCGCTGTTTAGTAAGCTTAATGTCATGTGCAACCTTAATACTTTCTTGCATTGTAACATCATATATTCTTATATTACATAGCATATCCTTCCTGACATGGAGAATAGGACAGGGACAGTCTTGTGGGGGGTGGGGGGGGGCATTATTCTGCTTATCACAGTTAGCAAACAAAGATTTTGTGCCATGAAAACATGGAGGAAATACCCTTATCCTTATTTTTCTTCAGTCTTTCTCATCAAATAGATCTTTAGATCCAAAAGAGAAGACTCAACATTGCTTTTAATTAAATCTCAAGATGAACGAAGGGGCACTATGAGCCCTGGGCCCTAGTATTGGAGTAGAACTCATTCCAAAACAATAAGAAAGTTTAGGAAAGAGATTTTTAAGTTGCTCTAGATATCTTTGAGGATTATGGAGAATAGTAAAAGTTTTAGAAGACAAGAAATGGGCAGTGTACTAGTTTTTTAAAGGAAGATAGATCTCATAAACTATAGGTGAATGAGTTTGACATTACTTCTGGAAGCAATTTTAAGAAGCATGAAAACAATACTTTAAAAGCACTTAAAAGAATGCTTTGCAATCATGAAACATCATGGGCACACTGAGAAGAAATTGTATCAGAAAAATGATATTTCTTCCTATTTTTTGAATCTTTATCTTGTCCTTTTATTGTTAGTTGGCATGCAATAATTGTACATATTTATGGAAACTGATATTTTGATACAGGTGTACAATGCGTAATGATCAAATCAGGGTAATTAGCATTTCAAACACCTCAAACATTTATCATACTTTTGTGTTGACAACATTCAAAATCCTCTCTTCTAGCTTTTTGAAAATATACCATAAATTATAGTTATTTCCATGCGACCAGCTATAGAGCACTACAACAGAACTTATTCCTCCAATATAGCTATAATTTTGTGTCCATTAACCAACCTCTGCTCCCACATCCTTCCCAACATCTAATAACCACAATTCTACCATTTACTTTAATGAGCTCAAATTTGTTTAGCTCCTGCATATGGGTAAGGACAGACAGTATTAATTTTTCTGAGTCTGACTTATTCCACTTAACATAATGTTCGCTAGTCTTATCCATGATTCTGCAAATGACAGAATTTCATTCTTTTTATGGCAGAATATTATTCATATATATATATATATATATGAATGTATATACAAATTTGGTATATGTATATACCACATTTTTTATCTATCCATCCATTGATGGATATTTAGCTTAATTCCATATCTTGGTTATTGTGAAGACAGCTGCAATAAATATGGAGGTGCAGATGCCTCTTAAGTGTAATGATTTCCTTTCCTTTGGATAAACACCTAGTAGTGGGATCACTAGATCATATGGTGTCTCTATTTTTGTTTTGAGAAACCACCATACAGTTTTTCATAATAAGTGAAATAATTTAACTTACCAACAACAGTGTATGGTAGTCTAATTTTTCATGTCTTACATTTAAATTTTTAATCCATTTTGAGTTTATTTTTGTATAAGGTGAGTGATAGGAGTTTAGTTTCATTCTTCTGCATATGGATATCCAATTTTTCCAGAAGCATGTATTGGAGATTGTGTCCTTTCCCCAATGTAGGTTGTTGACAAAACTAAAGACAAAGTCTTAAAAGCAGCCAGATAGAAACAGTCACCTATAGGTGAAACATCACCTATAGAGGAAAACCAATGTAAATGAAAATACGTTTTTTCATCTGAAACAATGGAGGTCAGAAACAAGTTACACAATATTTTTCAGGTAGTGAAAGAAAAGAGCTGCCAACTCTGAATGCTACAGATGTTGTAACTATGCTTCTGGAGTAAAGGAAAATTATATTTTTTGAACTGTTTAAAAATTTGTTGTTAGCAAGCTTACCATTAAATGTTTACTAAAACTGTTATTCAAACAAAATAAAGAAAAAAAAGGAATTTTGAACATCAAGAAAGAAGGAAGATATATTAATAGAATTAGCAGAAATATGAATACATCCAATAGATGTGTTTTCCTAGTGAGTATTATAAATCATAGTTGATGATAGAAACAAAAATTATAACTCCACTTGATACTAAAGGAAGTGATATTTAAAAGTATAGAAGATAAAGGAAAATAAATATAAGCTGAGCTTCCTTGCTTTAATCAAAAGTGTAAAACCATTGGTATTTATATATTGTTTTATAAATCGGATATTAAATCAGGTATTAAAATATGAAGAGTAGCATAAAAAGTATATACAAATTTCCAAAGCAAAGAGTGTATATTGTAGATGTATTCAAACATTGTAAGTAAAGCAACATGAAAGCTCGAGTAGCACACAGTAAGTCCAAAAAAAAAGGAAAACTGAAAAATGAGAACAAAACAAATGAATATGTAGTAAATAATAAAATGAAATGCTTAGGTTTTAGTACATTAATAATTACATTAAATATAAGTGACATAAATACACCAATCAAAAGAGAAATTAGCTGAATAAATAAAAAAATGCAACCTTAACTATTGCTATAGTAAGAAATACACTTTAATTCAATAGTATCAGTAGGTTGCAAGTAAAATAATATAAAAATACATACCATGGAAATATTTATCAATAAAAGGGCAAAAGTGGCTATATTAATATCTGATAATCTAGAAGTTAGATTCAAAAATCTTACAAAGAACATTACTAACAACAGAGGAGGCAGTTAGAGGCTGGCTAGGCAGATAGAGAGGAAGGGTCTTGGGAGAAAGACAGCACCCATGGGAATGCACCTGCACTACCTTTGTGGTGTAGCTAGAATGTGGAAATGTGGTTAACAACTTCCTCTTATACCAAGATGTCTCTCAGAAGGGACTGTCCCAATTATGTTTCAATAAATCAACTAAATGTCCTTAACTTGACCCAGAGCTAATTGTAATATCATTAGCATTGCAGTTTTGGTGCCCCCATGAATTTTGCTTAGGCACTTATGACTAATAATCAAGATGGAGTCACTACTGCCAAACCTAGGTATGCACAGACAGAACACTCCCAGCAGGGAATTTTACCCCTTCCATTAAGGCAGGACCCACAAAAGACTTCCTTGTTTCTGTCACATAAAGGGATCAGAACTCAGCCCCATTTCTGGCAACCCTTGTTTGGGTCCACTCTTGCTGCTGAGAGCTTTTCTGTTGCTTAATGAATGCTAATTTGCCTTACTCACTCTCTGGTATTTGTGTGCCTCATTCTCTTGGTTGTGGGACAAGATCTTGGACCTCACTAAATTAAGGAGTGAGGAGACTGCAACACTAATAATAAATGGATCAATTCACAAGTAAACATAACAATTCCAAATATATATGCACCAAATAACAAAGTCTTAAACAACATGAAGAGAAAAATTATAGAACTAAAAAATAATAAATTATAGTTGTGGGTTTTAACAGCCTTATCTCAGCAATTGATAGAATTATTGGACAAAAATTTAACAATCAGCAAGCATGTAGAAGATCTGTACAGCACAATCAACCAACAAGATTTTATTCACACACAAACACACACACACACACACACAGACACACATATACAGATAAATATATATGTCAATTATATATATATCTCTCTCTAAATATAGAATCAGTCCACAAAAAACAGCAGAATATACAGTTTTTCAGGAGCTCATGAAATATTAACTAAAATACTAGATGATTTCTTGCACCATAAAACAAACGCTGATACATTTAAAAGAATTTATGTCATATAGAGTATGTTCTCTGACCATAATGGAATTAAAATAAAAGTCAGTAACAGAAAGAGAGCAGGAAAATGTTTAAATGCATTTCACTTATGCAACACAGTTCCAAATGATCTATGGATTAAATATAAAGTCTTAAATAAAAATCTAAAAATATATTTCAACAAATGAAAGAAAAATACAACATATCAAAATATAGGAAATACAGCTAAGGCTGTGGTGGGAAAGAAATTTATAGTACTAAATGCTTCATTAAAAATAAGAAAAGATCTCAAATCAATAACTTACACTTGTATCTCAAGAAACTAGAAAAAGAACAGAGTAAACTGAAAGCAGGCAGAAGAAGAAAAATAATCATCACAATAACAAAAATTCATGAAATTGAAAACAGAAAAAAATGTGAAACAAAAAGCTGGTTTATTGAAAAAATCAATCAATTGATAAACATCTATCAAAACCAACAAAAATAAATAGAGATGACACAAAACACAACAGCAAATTTTTAAAAAAAAATGCAAATGATCCAATTAGGTAATGGACAAAAGACATCAATGGACGTTTTAACAAGAAAAATATTCAGATGTCAAATAATCCATGAAACATGTTCAATATTATTAATCATCATGGACATGTCAAATAAAACCATAGTGAGATATTTCTACACACCTATCAAAATGACTTTTAAAAATTGTGACAATAGCAAAAGCTATTCAGGATGTAAAAAATACGATCACTCATAAGTTGCTAGTGGAAAAGTAAAATAATAGAGCCACTCTGAAAAATAGTTGACAGTTTTTTAAAAAGACAGACATGTTATTCATTCTTTCCACATTTTTTTTTGTGTGTGTGCTGATTAACCTTCTCTACCTCCTCTCCAATGCCCCAGTATCCTTACTAGCTTCTGTGGGCACTCAGTGTACCCATAAAATTTTAAGAAAATAATTAAAAATTTTTTAAAGTAAAATAAAAACCAGATATGCATAGACCATAGATCCCAGCAATTGCAGTTGTGGGTGTTTAATTTGGAGTGATGAAACTTGTGGTCCCACAAAAACTTGTTCACGAATGTCTACAACAGCTTAATTTGTTACAGTTGAAAAGGTCAATAAGCCCAGGTGAATGTTTAATTTGTGGTGAATTTATACCAGAAACCATGAAATACTACTCAGTCATCAAAGGAACAAAATATTAATTAATGCAATCATTTGGATGTATTTTTAGGAAATTTTGTCGAGTGAATAAAAGTCAATTATATACATTATGTACAACAGTACAAGTAGGCCTTGAGACCTACGGGATCATTCTGTGTTGCAGCAAGGCCCTGCCTGCCTCACCAGATGTGGTGAGCCTATCCTATCTCACTCGGAGGGGGCCAAAATCGGATCTGAAAGGGAGTCTGGAGAACACAGCAGGCATCCTGAAGCTCCACCTCCCTCGGTGGAAGTCGGCTCAAGGAGGTCCTGAGGACAGGACTCCTAGGGGTTTGGCCCTGGGACAGGACAAGACACCCGCGGCCCCCTCTCCAACGCCGCCCCAAACTGGATCCCGGATCCAGCCGCCGCCATGGCGGCAGGAAGAACCTCGCTGCCGCCGCCAGGCGGCGGCAGTATTTAAAGGGGACGCAGCCATACTGCCAGGAGCGGAGCGCGAGTCCGCTCAGCCAATGCGCATGCGCGAGGCGGGAGCGGTTTCTCCCGTCACAGTGGTTCCCACGGTTGTCTTAGAAACCAATCCCCGAGGCTTGGCAAAGCAGGAGCCCTCCGTGGCAGTGCTTGGGTGTCGGGGCTCTGAGGATCCAGCCTGACCTCTCCACGGGGTCGACCTGAACGTCTCCGGATGCCAGGAGTCGCAAAGGGCCGACCACGATGAGGAAACCCCAGGCGGGGACGGGGGAAGCAGCACGGGATCCCAGCCTCAGGCCTGCCCGGACGGTGTTGGTTGGGGTGAGTCTCCCCAAAAGTCGTGCCGCCATCCGTGATCTCGAGGACAGGTCGGCCTGCGTGCCCCTGGGCTGCTCTCTCACCCGAGGGTCTTTCTCGTCGTGAGCAGAACCCCGCAGCCTCAGGGGTTGCCTGGTGGTGTGTGTTTCAATGCCTCTGCTGTATGACGCTGTGTGTGTGTCTCTGTGTGTGTGTGTGTGTGTGTGTGTCTGTGTGTGTGTCTCCCATTCTCTCTTCTCTCTCTGTCTCTCAGTCTCTGTGTGTTTCTTTCCCTCTCTCTGTGGGTTTGTGTGTGTATGCCCGTGTGCGTGTGTGTCTTTGGCCGAATGTGCCCTGTGCGCCACAAAGCGGTTTGTCGCATGGCAGCCTGTCTTTGGTGAGCCTCTTTCTGCTTCTCTGCCTGGGTCATGAGGCCGGCTGTCAATCGTTTTCGCCGCGGCGGATCCGCTTTGGGTGTCTGAAAGCCTGGCCCACGTGAGGAGATGCGTCGCTCCCGGAGCAACTGAAATCTCAACCCCATCATGAGTGGCCTCTTTTCTAGGATCAAGATGAGTACACTGCAGCCGAGAACAAGAGCCCCAGAGGAACTCTTTGTCCCACAGGAGAGCAGCGGATCCACGCAAGAGAACATGCTTGTATCTTTTCACGGCTCTTCTCTGAGAAATGAAGCCACACCACGATACAGTCAGCAAGAGGAAGCCGGGAATGGGAGATGGCAACAGTCCCTGTCACTGGAACGCTGGCCTCTCTGGACAAGCCACCCTTTAGGAACCCCACCCCTTATGCCTGTGGCGGTGGCACGGTGCTGTATCCTGCCTGGGCTCTGGCCTCTACTCTCTCCTCCCTCTGGCTCTGCCTCCCCTGTTTCTCAGGGGCCTGGATGCCTCTCGCTCTGGCCAAATGCCTTCAAAAAAGATGACTTCCCAGTCCGTCAGGGAGACACTTTCTGGAGATCCGTGTCATGATCGTTTCTCTCTCCAAACGTGTTTCTGCTTAATTGGGCAGGTATCATGAGCCGGGAGCTCTTGGCTTCCATAGGTGTCTCAGGCAGGGAAGCTTCCTTCTTCCCCACGTTTCCCCTCATGGGTGGATGGATTGCCTAGAATGAGCGCTAGGCGACCGTGACTGGCCTTGACTTCCAGGACAGGTGGTGTCCCATTTCCTCTGCAATTCCTGTCTCATTCTTGAGGGACATCCTCTCCTCTGCTCCTGGGTGGCCTGACTCCCTTGATCTTCTGGACGAAACGAATGTCAGGAAAACAAAGGGACTGGGCTGGGGCTGGGGCTGGGGATGGGGCTGGGGCTGGGTGCAGCCAAAGTTGCCTCAGGGCTACCAGGGCGGTGGAGGCTTGGGGGTGGGGCGATTTTTGCCAAAACCTCTTTGCTCCTCTGGTACGCATTTGAAAACGTGGCTTGGGTCAGGCACAGCCCCCCATCTCGACCCGCAACCCCCGAGCCCCAGGTGTTCTTCGACTTTCCTTGGCATTGATGGAAAGGTCACTCATTTCCCCCTTCCACCAGCACACGCCTGGACACCACCCTTTGTTTCGCCGTCGCCCCATATGCCTCTGGCGACACACCATCTGCTGTGGGGTAGGCCAGTGCCACGCGTGGTCACACGGTCTCCACGTCGGATTCGCCCCTGTTCCTGGTGGCACGTGTCCTGTAAAGCGCGGTCGGCTTTCCGGAGCCCCTGGGCTTTTAGAAGCGGGGCAAGCCACTGATATTTCAAAGGAGGCGGGAGGCAGAGGGCTGATGGATGAGTGAATTTGCAGCTGACACTAGGCCTTGAGACCTATGGGATCATTGTGTGCTGCAGCGAGGCCCTGCCGGCCTCTCCAGATGTGGTGAGCCCATCCTATCTCACTCGGAGGGGGCCAGAATCGGATCTCAACGGGAGTCCGGAGAACACAGCAGGCGTCCTGAAGCTCCCCCTCCCTCCGTGGAAGTCGGCTCAAGCAGGTCCTGAGGACAGGACCCCTGGGGGTTTGGGCTTGGGACAGGACGAGACACCCGCGGCCCCCTCTCCCACGCCGCCCCAAACAGGACCCAGGATCCAGCCGCCGCCACAGCGGCAGCAGGAGCATCGCGGCCGCCGCGGGGCGGTGGCAATATTTAAAGGGGACGCAGCCTATCTGTCCGGAGCGGAGCGCGAGTCCGCTCAGCCAATGCGCATGCGCGAGGCGCGAGCAGTTTCTCCCATCACAGTGGTTCCCACGGTTGTCTTAGAAACCAGTCCCCGAGGCTTGGCAGAGCAGGAGCCCTCCGTGGCAGTGCTTGGGTGTCCAGGCTCTGAGGCTCCGGCCTCACCTCTCCACGGGGTCGAAGGGAACGTCTCCGGATGCCAGGAGTCGCAAAGGGCCGACCATGATGATGAAACCCCAGGCGGAGACGGGGGAAGCAGCACGGGATCCCAGCCTCAGGCCTGCACAGACGGTGTTGGTTGGGGTGAGTCTCCCCAAAAGTCGTGCCGCCGTCCATGATCTCGAGGACGGGTCGGCCTGCGTGCCCCTGGGCTCCTCTCTCACCGGAGGGACGTTCTCCTCCAGAGCAGAACCCCGCAGCCTCAGGGGTTGCCTGGGGGTGTGTGTTTCAATGCCTCTGCTGTATGACTCTGTGTGTGTGTGTGTGTGTGTCTGTGTGTGTGTCTCCCATTCTCTCTTCTCTCTCTGTCTCTCAGTCTCTGTGTGTTTCTTTCCCACTCTCTGTGGGTTTGTGACAGCCGAAGTTACGTCAGGGCTACCAGGTCGATGGAGGATTGGGGGTGTTGCGAATTTTGCAGAAACCTCTTTGCTCCTCCGGTAGGCATTTGAAAACGTGGCTTGGGTCAGGCACAGGCGGCTCCCCCACCCCCCGGGTCCCAGGTGTTCTTTGATTTTCCTTGGCATTGATGGAAAGGTCACCGGTTTCCTCCTTCCACCGCCACATGCCTGGACCCCACCCTTTGTTTCGCCGTCGCCCCTTATGCCTCCGGTGAGACACATTCACACCAACTGCTGTGGGATTGGCCAGTGCCACGCGTGGTCACATGGTCTCCCCCTCGGATTCGCCTGTTTTCCTCTTTGCAGGTGTCGTGTAAAGCGTGGTCGGCTTTCTGGAACCGCAGGGCCTTTAGAAGTGGGGCAGGCCACTGCTCTTTCAAAGGAGGAGGGAGGCAGAGGGCTGATGGATCAGTGAATTTTCAGCTGACTCTAGGCCTTGAGAATTATGAGATCATTCTGTGCTGCAGCGAGGCCCTGCCGGCCTCACCAGTTTTTGTGAGCCCATCCTATCTCACTGGGAGGGGGCCAAAATCGGATCTCAACGGGAGTCCGGAGAACACAGCAGGAG
Source organism: Homo sapiens (assembly GCF_000001405.40). Classification (NCBI taxonomy): domain Eukaryota; kingdom Metazoa; phylum Chordata; class Mammalia; order Primates; family Hominidae; genus Homo; species Homo sapiens. The sequence continues at coordinate 65,386,731 of NC_000009.12, forward strand.
TCCTGAAGCTCCCCCTCCCTCGGAGGAAGTCGGCTCAAGCAGGTCCTGAGGACAGGACCCCTGGGGGTTTGGGCCTGGGAAAGGACGAGACTCCCGCGGCCCCCTCTCCCACGCCACCCCAAACAGGACCCAGGATCCAGCCGCCGCCATGGCGGCAGCAGGAGCATCGCGGCCGCCAGGCGACGGTGGCGATATTTAAAGGGGACGTAGCCTGACTGCCAGGAGCTGAGCGCGAATCGTCCCAGCCAATGCGCATGCGCGAGGCGCTAGTGGCTTCTCCCTTCACAGTGGTTCCTTCGGTTGTCTTAGAAACCAGTCCCTGAGGCTTGGCAAAGCAGGAGCCCTCGGTGGCAGTGCTTGGGTGTCGGGGCTGTGAGGCTCCGGCCTGACCTCTCCACGGGGTCGAAGGGAACGTCTCCGGATTCCAGGAGTCGCAAAGGGCCGACCACGATGAGGAAACCCCAGGGGGGTACGGGGGAAGCAGCACGGGATCCCAGCCTCAGGCCTGCCCGGACGGTGTTGTTGGTTGGGTGGGTCTCCCCAAAAGTCGTGCCGCCATCCGAGACCCCGAGGACAGGTCGGCCTGCGTGACCCTGGGCTGCTCTCTCACCCGAGGGTCGTTCTCGTCGTGAGGAGAACTCCGCAGCCTCAGAGATTGCCTGGTGGTGTGTGTTTCAATTCCTCTGCTGTATTACTCTGTGTGTGTGTGTGTGTGTGTGTGTGTGTGTGTGTGTGTGTGTGTGTGTGTGTGTCTCCCATTCTCTCTTCTCTCTCCCTCTCTCAGTCTCTGTGTGCTTCTTTCCCTCTCTCTGTGGGTTTGTGTGTGCATGCCCGTGTGCGTGTGTGTTTTTGGCTGGAGGTGCCCTGTGTGCCACAAAGCGGTTTTTCGCATGGCGGTCTGTCTTTGTTGAGCCTCTTTCTGCGTCTCTGCCTGGGTCATGAGGCCGGTTGTCAATCGTTTTTGCTGCTGTGGATCCACTTTGGCTCTGTGAAGGCCTGGCCCACGTGAGGAGATGTGTCGGTCTCGGAGCAATTGAAGTCTCATCCCCATCCTGAGCGGCCTCTTTTCTAGCATCAAAACGAACACACTGCAGATGAGGAGAAGAATCCCACAGGAGCTCTTTGTCCTACAGGAGAGCAGCAGACCCATGTCAGAGAAGATGCTTGAGTCTTTTCACGGCTCTTCTCTGAGAAATGAAGCCACACCACGATACAGTCAGCAAGAGGAAGCCGGGAATGAGAGATGGCAACAATCCCTGTCCCTGGAACGCTGGCCTCCCTGGACAAGCCACCCTTTTGGAACCCCACCCCTTATGCCCTTGGCGGTGGCATGGTGCTGTATCCTGCCTGGGCTCCGGCCTCTTCTCTGTCCTCCGTCTTACTCTGCCTCCCCTGTTTCTCAGGGGCCTGGATGCCTCTAGCTCTGGCCAAATGCCTTCAACGAAGATGGCTTCCCAGTCCGTCAGGGAGACATTTCTTCGAGATCTGTGCCGTGATTGTTTCTCTCTCCAAACCTGTTTCTGCTTGATTGGGCTGGTCTCATGACCCGGGAACTCTTGGCTTCCTTAGGTGTCTCAGGCAGGGAAGCTTCCTTCTTCTCCACGTTTCCCCTCATGGGTGGTTGGATTGCCTAGAATGAGCGCTAGGTGAACGTGACTGGCCTTGTCTTCCAGGACAGGTGGTGTCGCATTTCCTCTGCACTTCCTGTCTCATTCTTGAGGGACATCCTCTCCTCTGCTCCTGGGTGAACTGAAGCCCTTGATCATCTGGCAGAAAAGAATGTCAGGGAACCCAAGGGACTGGTCTAGGGTGGAGGGCTGGTCCTGGGGCTCGGTGCAGCCAAAGTTGTGTCAGGGCTGCCAGGGCCTTGGACGGTTTGGGATGGGGCAAATTTTGCAGAAACCTCTTTGCTCCTCTGGTAGGCATTTGAAAACGTGGCTTGGGTCAGGCACAGGCCCCCCCCCACCCCGCGTGTCCCACGTGTTTTTCAATTTTCCTTGGCATTGATGGAAAGGTCACCCGTTTCCCCCTTCCTGGACACCACCCTTTGTTTCGCCGTCTCCCCGTATGCCTCCAGTGACACGCATTAACACCAACTGCTGTGGGATAGGCCAGTGCCACGCGTAGTCATATGGTCTCCGCCTCGGATTTGCCCCTGTTCCTCTTTGCAGGTGTCCTGTAAAGCACTGTCGGCTCCCGGAGCCCCAGGGCTTTTAGAAGCAGGGCAGGCCACTGCTCTTTCTAAGGAGGGGGGCATTGAAAAACACACCCCCAAGCAATCCCTGAGGCTGTGATGTTCTGCTCTCTATGAGAAGGACCGTCGGGTGAGAGAGCAGCCCAGGGGCATGCAGGCCGACCTGTCCTAGAGATCACTGACGGAGGCACGACTTTTGGGGAGACTCACCCCAACCAACACCGTCCGGTCAGGCCTGAGGCTGGGATCCCGTGCTGCTTCCCCCGTCTCCGCTGGGCTTTCCTCATGGTAGTCGGCCCTTTGCGACTCCTGGCATCTGGGGACGTTCCCGTTGACCCCAAGAAGAGGTTAGGCCGGAGCCTCAGAGCCCGGAAACCCAAGCACTGCCACGGAGGGCTCCTTCTTCGCCAAGCCTCGGGGACTGGTTTCTAAGACAACCGTGGGAACCACTGTGACTGGAGAAGCCGCTCCCGCCTCGCGCATGTGCACTGACTGAGCTAACTCGCGCTCCGCTCCTGACTGTCAGGCTGTGTCCCCTTTAAATACTGCCACCTCTGAGCGCGACAGCAGCGAGGCTCCTGCTAGCCCCGCTGCGGCGGCTAGATCCGGGGTCCAGTTTGGGGCGGCGTGGGAGAGGGGGCCGTGGGTGTCTTCTCCTGTCCCAGGGCCAAACCCCGAGGAGTCCTCACCTCAGGACCTGCTTGAGCCGACTTCCACTGAGGGAGGGGGAGCTTCAGGACGCCTGCTGTGTTCTCCGGCCTCCTGTTCAGATCCAATTTTGGCCCCCTTCGAGTGAAATAGGATGGGCTCACCACATCTGGTGAGGCAGGCAGGGCCTCGCTGCAGCGCAGAATGATCCCATAGGTCTCAAGGCCTAGTGTCAGCTGCAAATTCACTTATCCATCAGCCCTCTGCCTCCCTCCTCCTTTGAAAGAGCAGTGGCCTGCCCCGCTTGTCAAAGCCCTGGGGTTCCGGAAAGCCCACCGCGCTTTACAGGACACCTGCATAGAGGAACAGGGGCGAATCCGAGGTGGAGACCATGTGACCACGCGTGGCACTGGCCTATCCCACAGCAGTTGGTGTTAATGTGTGTCACCGGAGGCATACGGGGTGACGGCGAAACAAAGGGTGGTGTCCAGGCATGTGCCGGTTGAATGGGGAAACGGTTGACCTTTCCATCAATGCCAAGGAAAATCAAAGAACACCTAGGACCCGGGGGGTGGGGGTCCTGTGCCTGACCCAAGCCAAGTTTTCACATGCCTACCAGAGGAGCAAAGAGGTTTCTGCAAAATTCGCCCCACCCCCAACCCTCCACCGCCCTGGTAGCCCTGACGCAACTTAGGCTGCACCCAGCCCCAGCCCCAGCCCCAGCCCCAGCCCCAGCCCAGTCCCTTTGGTTCCCTGACATTTGTTTCGGCCAGAAGATCAAGGGAGTCAGTCCATGCAGGAGCAGAGGAGAGGATGTCCCTCATGAATGAGACAGGAAGTGCAGAGGAAATGCGACACTACCTTTCCTGGAAGACAAGGCCAGTCATGGTCACCTAGCGCTCATTCTAGGCAATCCACCCACCCATGAGGGGAAACGTGGAGAAGAAGGAAGCTTCCCTGCCTGAGACACGAATGGAAGCCAGGAGCTCCCAGGTCATGTGACCTGCCCAATCAAGCAGAAACACGTTTGGAGAGAGAAACAATCACGACATGGATCTCGAAGAAATGTCTCCCTGACCGACTGGGAAGTCATCTTTGTTGAAGACATTGGGCGTCAGCGAGAGGCATTGAGGCACTTGAGAAACAGGTGAGGCAGAGCAGGAGGGAGGACAGGGCAGACGCCGGCGGCCAGGCAGGATGTATCACCATTCCACTGCCAGGGTCATAAGGGGTGGGGTTCCAAAAGGGTGGCTTGTCCAGAGAGGCCAGCATTCCAGTGACAGGGACTGTTGCCATCTCCCATTCCCGGCTTCCTCTTCCAGACCGTATTGTGGTGTGGCTTCATTTCTCAGAGAAGAGCCATGAAAAGATACAAGCATCTTCTCTGATGTGGGTCCGCTGGTCTCCTGCGGGACAAAGAGCTCCTGTGGGGCTCGTGTCCTCGTCTGCAGTGTGTTCATCTTGATCCTAGAAAAGAGGCTGCTCAGGATGGGGATAATATTTCAATTGCTCCGGGACCGAAGAATCTCCTCACCTGGGCCAGGCCTTCACACACCCAAAGCGGAACCGCGTCGGCGAAAGGGATTGATAACCGGTCTCATGACCCAGGCAGAGAGGCAGAAACAGGCTCACCAAAGACAGGCCGCCATGCGAGAAACAGCTTTGTGGTGCACAGGGCACATTCAGCCAAGGACACACACGCACAGGGGCACACACACACAAACCGACAGAGAGAGGGAAAGAAACACACGGAGACTGAGAGACAGAGAGAGAAGAGAGAATGGGAGACACACACACATACAAACACAGACACACACACAGAGTCTTATAGCAAAGGCATTGAAAGACACACACCCAGGCAACCCCTGAGGCTGTGGGGTTCTGCTTTCGACGAGAACGACCCTTCGGTGAGAGAGCACCCCAGGGGCACGCAGGCCGTCCTGTCCTCGAGATCACCGTGTCACGACTTTTGGGGAGACTCACCCCCACCAACACCGTCCAGAGAGGCCTGAGGGAGGGATTCCATGCTGCCTTCTCCGGACTCTGCGTCGGGTTTCCTCACCCTGTTTGGCCCTTTGTGACTCTTGGCATCCAGAGACTTTCCCCTCGACCCAGTGGAGTCGTCAGGCCAGAGCCTCAGAGCCTTGACACCCAAGCACTGCCACGGAAGTCTCCCCCTTTGCCAAGCCTCGGGGACTGGTTTCTAAGACAACCGTGGGAACCACTGTGAGGGGAGAAACCGCTTGTGCTTCGCGCATGAGCATTGGCTGGGCCGACTCGTTCTCCCTTCCTGGCAGTCAGGCTGCGTCCCCTTCAAAGAACGCCACCGCTGAGAACTGACCCTCACATCTCCCTTCCTGAATTTCTTTAGGGAAAGCAACAACCATCCCTGTAAGCCATGGGTTTTCATGCGGAGGAAGGAGAGGGCTAGTTGTCTGAGAGGGAAACTGCTTAAGGCTGCAGACTAGGAAATGGGATTCCAGGTTTAAGATAGCTCCTTTCTGGACCTCAGTCCTTCACCTAGTCACCTAGTCACAGGGTGGATCGCCTCTAAGGATACTTAGTGGAAAAGGAACCAAATTCGGGATGGTTCTCCTTGCTTTAAGCCTTGATGGGAGACGGGGAGGCCAACCCTTCTCTGCAGACCGTGATCCTCACTAGACAGAGGAGCTCCAAACCTGCCCATCTCATCCCATGCACCGACGGTGCCTGGCCTGGCTCCAAACTCCCGAAAGGAACTATTTTACAGGTGCCAAAAAGGGGACAGTGTTGATAATAATAATAAAATGAAACAATCTGATTGGGGCATTGCTGGATCAGAAAATGTGTGACCTTTTTAAAGTTAAATTGTTAAAAAAATTTAACTATTAAACATTTTAAATATTAAGCCTGATCTGTTTGGTAGCCCTGGAGCAGGGCTGAAGCATAGAGAGAAACCTTTCCTTCAGCCAGGTTGTCTGTGTCACACTGATTTATTTTTGTTTTATTTGTGGATTTCTTAATGGACCCAATGGTGGTTCCTCTTTGCACCCCTCGGGTTCACAGGCAATTCCATCCTAGCCCAGTTCTCAGTTCTGGTTTAGTTTTCATAACTTTTGGGGGTCCAGGGAGCCATGAGACTGGAGATAGAAAGCAGAAGTGCACTGGGGCGGTGGGTCTGCCTTGGCTTACCCCCAAATTTCTGGATTCCAGGTGCCTTGCTCCAGTCCCCGCCCCATCCTAGGCTCAAGATGCTCTCCCACGCTACTAACCACTGGTCCGGTCAAAGCCCAGGCTGCTGCCAGCCGCCATGTTATCTCCTAGCCTGGCTAGGGTGCCTGCTAGCCAGCAGTGGCTATGGTGGTGTGCAGAGTGAGGGTGAGTTTTTGTATTGACTGCCATTCCGTTTACCTCAACAAGTATGTTTGGGCAACCATTCTGTGCCAGGCAGCAGACAGAGTCCCTGCACTGCAGGAATTCCTAGTCCTGTGGGCAGGGGTGTGTGGAGGATGGCACATGGTGGTTAGCCTGGTCCAAGGGTCTCCACTCCCTTCCTAGCATCCTAGAGATCCTGGAGGCTAGGTTGGCCACAGAGACTGAGTTCAGGACAATTCCTTCACGCAGTTAACGAAGTTATCTGTAACTTCCTGGTTAAAAAAAAAACACACACACACACACAAACACAAAAACTGTCAGTCGTGGGAGGTATTTCCCCACTGGGCTGGTTGGTAGCAGGGGAAGAACTGTGGACCCCTGGCCGAGTGGCGCCTGGAAGGAGGCTGACGTACGAGTGGTATAGCTGTGAGTAGGAGAAGTGAGATCTAGTGGGGTAAGTCCATGTTCCCTGTTCCTAAAGTCAAATTCTCCCTGAAAAGACCCAGGGCAGCACTGTTAGGGAGCTGAAGGAGTCCCTCTGTACCCAGAGGGAATTAGGCCACTCAGGCCTCAGAGAAGGAGGGCGGGTGGTGAGGACAACCTCCCTAAGCCCCCATCAGAGCAGGCCCAATACTTGGAAATTCACTCCTCAGTCCACCAGATTCTGGTCCCATCCTACATCCGCACCAGGGCACAGGAGGCCCACATAAAAACAAGCTTTATTTGGCCAAATTAACTCACTTTCCTGGATTACCTTACTTATTGGAAAGCAAAAGTACACCCCACGCTCCTCGCCCTGTCCCTGACTAAACCTCTTTATCTCTGAAGCCCACTCTTTGAGACCTAAAAATTAGGGTTCAAGAGAAACGCTCTAGGACTACAGGAGTGACATGACAGTCCCTATCCTACAGTGCACTAAAAGCCAAACTGAAGGCTGCTTCCTCGGTGGAGAGTGTCTCAGGGTGAGGTGGCAGGACTGTTAGCCGCTTCTCATTTTACAAGCTCCTTGTCCACAGTCATCTGCACCAGCCCCTCACAAAACTGGTTCTCGCCTTCTGGTGGGTGCTGGTGTTTACCCCTTTCCTCCCACTATCTGTTCAAACCGAGCCCACCCACCCTCCATTCACCTCCCCTCCTTAAGTCTCCCTGAGCTCTATTTACCCTTTTGTAACTCCATCCCTCCATAAGTACACAACTCTCCTAGCTGGTTTCCTAGAGGGCAGATACAGTGTTTCCAGTTGGCCCTCTGCAGATATCTGTGAATAAGTCTCTCCCAGCCCCTACATATAAATGTGTCTGTTCTAGACAGATGGGCCTAAGTCCCAACGTAAACACATCACTGGATAATTACACCTTATATACATACAGATCTCTCTATAGAGTTATATTTGAAAGTGTCTATAACTCTAGAGAGAGATTGCAGCATGCACCTATAGGACTATAATTACTTATGTCTATTTTTATAACTATGCAGTTATAAATAGATATGCCTATATATAGTGATAATAATATAGAAATATCTCCATAGCCATATATGGCTCTAAGTGAATGCTCTAACTACTCTATTTCGCAATCAATAAGTATATATCTCCTGATACATAATTCTAACAATATACGTTTTTATCTATATAGCTGTTCAGAGATATAAATCTGTCAGGATATCAAATGTACATAAAGCCGGATGGCTGTAAGGGAGTCGCATATTTTCCCATATATAAATCTGCTCCTATAACTACTGTATATGCACAAATACAATGGAAATAATTATATTTCCCGCAAACGTAAATCTGTAAATACAACCACAGCACATTTAGGTACCATTAGACATAGAGCAATATTTCCTAGACATCAGTCTGTCATTAGAGCCACCAGTGCCTCCAAACAGAGAGTTATAGAGGGAGTTATAAATAATCTCTCCAGATGTGAACGGATCAGTAGAACTAGATGTAAACATGACTCCAAGCCGTTCCTCCTCCTCCTTCTTCTTCTTTGTAAGATATTCCTGAAGCAAGCCCAGTCATATAACAGGGTGCAGAGGTGTCTGGGTACTGGTATTTTTTCCCCCAAGGAGAGTCGGAGGTGGCTGGACTTTGGGAAACTGTGCAGGAGTGGGTAGGGGACAATGCCCGCTCCCAACACAGCCCAGAAGCCCCTTCCATCTGTCTCTTGGTGGCTGAGAGCTTGGGCAAGTGGAGAGGCCTAAGGGAGAAAAATGAAAAAGCAGAGTCTGGCTTGAGTCGTTCGGCCCTTCGGCCTAAAACCCTCTCAACAGGGAAGCCCCGAACAGGCGTCGGAGCGGAGAGAGCCCACGAGGCCCAGAGGCTGGGGGAAAGGGGCTGCAGGCCGGGCTGTGGAGGCCGAGCAGAGTCGCCAGCCGGTGCCTGACCGCCCGGCGCCCCGTCTCCCGGGGCCGCTGCCTCGCCCTCGGCCTGGAACACAAAACCTGGGCCCTAGCCCTGCGCCCTGTGCTCAGCACTTCCACTGGTCTTATTTTATTGCTGTTTTGTCCAATTAGGTATCGCAGCATCCTCCACCCGGTGTTGTTTTCAAATGCGAGGGCACCCAGGGCTTTCTGAATGCGTGTGTGTGTGTGTGTGTGTGTGTGTGTGTGTGTGTGTGCTGGCTTTAAATAAGTGACTCAGTGGATAGTGTATTTCTCTTTTCAGACCAAATGGGTCACCGGCTACTGAAAAAGAATCCAGACCTCTGAAAGGGTTCGTGACAAATTTTTTAGAAGTTCTCACGCTCATCTGTTACGATGATTTTCTTTTCTTTTTTCTCTTTTAAAAAAGTTGGCTAATTTGTGTTTCTATATTCCTCTTTAATTTTATTTTTATTGGGGGTACAAATGTTTTTAAAGGAGGGATTTCATTAGACCCGAAACTGTGGGGTGGCTTCCTCTCTAGCCAACTTACTATCTCTACGCCTGTGATTCCCATCTCCCCCAAGAAAACAAACCAATTAAATGACCAGAAAACTGTACCTGGAGAAAATGAAGTATATGTTGCAGGATCCGGGACCGCGGTCTTTGCTTGCTTCATGAAAAATCGGCTGGTCTCCAAACTCGCGAAGGAAAATTCAAGGCGCCTCAACTCCTCCTTTTAAATTTTTTAATAAAGAGCCTAGAAAGGGAACTTTCCCTGGGCCTGCCGGAGCCCCAGCCTGGCTCTCCCAACTTCCCAGCGGCCATAAATGTTTTTCTGCTTCCATTCGGGCCCCCCGTCTTCCCGGACATCTCTGAGCTCCTGCCGGATCAAGGCTGTGGTCATCACCTCATTCATCTCTGCTGCTTGGCCTGGGCCTGCACATTTGGCCTCCTTCTTAAAACAGGGGCTCCTAGAGAGTCCCAAAATCCATTAACCATTCCCATATGTGGGATCCCTTCCCTGATCACACAAAGCAGAAGCCTGAGAAAAAAAGCAATAAAGAGTGGCCTCCTGGCTCTCCTTCTCCTCTTACGTCCCTTGTCTGGGAAAGGGGTTCCCAACCGCAGCCCCACCAAGAGCATATTAAGAAGCTGTCTTCCTCCCTTCCTTTCCTATCTCCCCCTCAGATGCTGTGATCCTGACTCCTGTCTCCACCTCAAAATATTTCCTCTTGCATTTTATTGTTATTCTGTTATGCAGGGACTGTTAACTACTGTTTTATTATTATTATTCATTATTTATTGTTATTAAGATTGTCGTTAGAGATTTGTTCACCACCGTTCAAGGGACAGCAGCCTGGCCCAGGGGGAAGCCTGCCTCTCCCTGTCTGTCTCTCTCTCTCTCACACACACACACACATACACACACACACACCCTAACACAGTGCACACTCACGCATATATGGTCACAAATGCCTGCTGTGTTCAGGCCCCTGCACAGCAATCCGAAGAGGCAGGCATCCTACCCCAGCATGCAAACAACACACTGCCCACGCACACCAGCATTCAGGCAGAACACCACCCCCAGACCAACGCCAAAACCCACACGCACCGAGCTTGCAAGGAAAGGAAAATACATAAAGAATCCCTTCTCTCCAAAACCTGGAGGGGTGAGTCAGGCCTCTGTCTCTTCCCCCCAGTCGCTTTCGCTTTCTCTTTTTTTTTCTCCTTGTTTACAGCTTCAGAGAGCTCAAGGCCCATAAATCTTGAGGGGTCTACAGAGCGCAGAACACATTTGTATGCATCGTTAGGATTCGCTAATACCTAAGCCCATTAAGGAGCGTGTATGCGCGTGGTTTCCGGTGTGTATTAACTTATAGTTAAATTCTGGAGGAAAGGGCATTGTGAATTAACATATACCAAATCCATCATGGGCTTTTGTCATATCAGATTAGTCAGTCATGGGTTTGGGGGAGCAACTTGCCTGGGTCGGCGTGTACCCACCCTTCAAACTTTGTGGAGCAGGCCCCTGGGTCTTGGGAAACACGAAGGCATTCCTATCCAGCCCCAGTCATTCGGATCCCCCAGGCCTAGCGGCTGCACACCTGCGAGATGGAGGGGGGACTGCAGACCCGGGTGCGGGAGGCCAGTGCCAGCGAAGAGAGGTGGGCAAGGGAGGCCCCTCCAGCGTCCTGCTGGGGTTGAGTTGGGGCGGCTCGTCCCGTGGCCGCTGGGTCGTCTGGTTTCCGCTTTCCGAAAGAAATGAGAGGAGAGACAAGTGGAGTCGCTGAACTTTAATTAAACCGTAGAGAAGACAGCGGGGGGAGGGAAAAAAAATCGGAGAAGGAGGAGGAGGTGGCCGAGAGATCAAGGAAAGGAAGTCCTGGTGGCTCCGGAGAACTTGGAAATCTCTCCAAGGGGCTGAAAGCTGGAAGTTGTATGAAGGTGTTCCTTTCCCACACCCCAGCTACTCCGCCCCAGTCGAAGAGGCTAATTCCGGCCCTCTTATAAAAATAAGAAAGAAAAGGTGAAGAAAAAGAAAGTCTAATTATGTGGCATGTTTCAGCCAGGTGTTCCTGGTTCCAATGACTCAGACCCTATTGGAGCCCTGAGGGTCTGGATAATTGGGCCTGCATAGACAGAGATGAAGGATGCCATTTCTAAAAGGAGGAAGGGGAGAGGAAAATGCCAAAGACCAAACAAGCTAAATTATTGTGTCTGTGTAGATCTATTTGCCTATTTACGTACAGCAGGCTGTGGGGGTGGAGGGTGAGGGAAGGCCAGGAATAAACGACCAGGATGGAGCGGGCTGGCAGGAGAGAAAATGCGCCCCCCGCCCTTTGCGGGAACAGCCAAGGGGCCTCCTCAGCTCGCAGCTCAGGCGGCCGCGCTGTGTACCGGTCCGGAGCCAGGGCCGGGCTGGGGGAGGGGAGGCGGGGGAGGGAGGGGAGGCGGGGGAGGGAGGGGAGGCGGGGGAGGGAGGGGAGGCGGGGGAGGGAGGGGAGGCGGGGGAGGGAGGGGAGGCGGGGGAGGGAGGGGAGGCGGGGGAGGGAGGGGAGGCGGGGGAGGGAGGGGAGGCGGGGGAGGGAGGGGAGGCGGGGGAGGGAGGGGAGGCGGGGGAGGGAGGGGAGGCGGGGGAGGGAGGGGAGGCGGGGGAGGGAGGGGAGGCGGAGGCGGGCCCTCCCCGGGCGCTGTGAACTTTAGCTGGGCCGCCGCCTGTAAGCCCCAGAAAGCATTAAAGGTGCAGCAGCCCGCGCCAGACTCCGCAGCCGCCTTTGTACACGTGATTTATGACTTCAATCTTGGTTCACCAAGAGTTCACACGGCTTTGGCTGCTGTTGAAGGTTAAAAGATGGTCTTCGCTTGACAAGTTGGACTATTGAAAATTCCTTCTTCTTCTTTTTTTTTTTTTTATTTTAGAAGCAAAGAGCAGAGGCTCAGGAGAGAAAAAAATTGGGGGGTGGGGGCAGGGGACAGGGGTTGCAGGTGGGCCAAAATGGTAGGTCAGGAAGGTTTGTCTTCCTATATTTAGGCTTTTTGTTGTTAGGATTTGCGTGTGTGTTGGGGAGAGGGTAGATAATAAGAGGGAGCTAGGCAAGAGATGTAAAGATCTCTCATATGTAGAGGTCAAAGGAGTGAAAAAAAAACTCGTGCTTCCACAGTTAATTATCTGGGTAACTTGGGTCACACCCCCTAACTGATCCTCCTCCAGAAACCAGAAATGGGCCAGGTAAGGGAGAGAGTTTGGGTAAAGGGTAAGGTTTGTGTGCTTCTCACTGGGTGTACTTGATCATCCACCTTACCTGGGTAACTACTTTTTTTTTTTTTTTTTTGGAAATGGGGTCCAGCTCTGTTTCCCAGGCTGGAGTGTTGTGGCACCATCATAATTCACTGAAGCCTCAAACTCCTGGGCTCAAGTAGTCCTCCCACCTTAGCCTCTTAAGTATGTGAGACTGCAGACATGTGCCACACCACCAGGTTGGGTAGCTGCTTTTCAATGTGCTTCTGCACCCACAGATTTGGAAAAGGGTATTTTTAGGCAGCAGTCTTTCAACTCTCTTCATCCTGTATGTTTAGCCTGCCATTTACATTTGATGCACATGAAGAGGCTAATGGGAAGGAAATCTATAGAACTGGAATTGGAAGTCCTTTTGAATCCCAAATCCCCTTGGTCTAAGAGCCAGTCTCTCTTCTTTCTAGCGTTTTGACAAAGGTCGTGCCACAGCAGAGATGGTGGTCAAAGGCCTCCTAAAGACCAGGATCTAAGGCCCCTTCGTGATCTAAGGCTCTGAGTACTTGGAGAGACAAAACTCACTCCTTCTTTGTAGATTCAGAGAGAGAGAGAGAGAGAGAGAGAGAGAGAGAATGAGGAGATACCTTGAAGCTGAGGGTCTGCTTGGCTCTTTGAGGTTTTTTTTAAGATATGTTTTTAAAAAATTTTCTGGAGTGGGAATTGGGACTGTGTGCACTGGGAAGGGGAACAGCAGAGAGCTGTGTCTGGAGTTGGGTGTGCCTCCCTAGCCCTATTAAGGCCCCATCTCCATTACCAATGCTAGGTAAATGTCTTCTTAAGAGATAGAGCCAGCCCCTCAAATCCAGATCTGGGAACCAAAGGCATCCACGCTAGAAGGGGCACTCCCTCCTTCTCTTTCTACATAACATTAGAGAGGTATTTTCCCACCATGTGAGGACTTAGATAAGAGAAGGAGAAGAGCCAGAAAGATGTCCACATCTCGCCGGGACACCTAGCACCAGGCCCTCCTACAGGGGACCTCATATGTAAATAGCAGAATGGGGAGCAGAGAACAGAGAGACCCCAGAAATCCAGAGTCCAGGCTCTGAGGTCACTTTGGCAGGAATGGTCCTCTGGCCTTATGAAGAACAGAGGGGCAATATGGCACTGTTTAGTAGCTCAGGGGGTGGTAGCTGTTAGGAGGAATCAGCCAAGGAAGCTAATGGATCTCTTCCAGGTTCTGGTTGGGAAGCAGAGGAATGAACTTAACGGCCTCTGGAAGTAACATCTATACTGAAGTCCCCTTCTCACACTTTCTGAGTGTGTTCCTCCCTGGGAAATAATTCCAGTGGGCTTGTGCTTATCTGCAAGTCTGGGGTAATTATGAATTATTAATTCATCATTAAGACTTGATTGTGACCGTTGCTCTCCAGTGGACCCATTTATCTCCTTCTTTGTGAGGCAGAGGGCAGCCTCTGTTAGCCCTTGGCTTCTGTAACAGGCAAACTGAGGCCAGCCCCTCTTGAAGGCACTCCTTGAACTCTGCCCTAGGTGGGATGGTTGCCTCATTACCAGTCAAGTCATGTTGCACCTCAGAGTATTTGTGGGATACAGCCACCTCCCACAAACTTCACATTTCAAAGTGCTTTGTAGGCTCCTGGAGAGATAGAGTAGGGGATTGGGAGTGAGACTCCAACAGGGGAAGAAACTTGGCCAAGCTGTGAGTGGAGATAGGAATTAAGGCGAGGTGGGAGGACTCCCAGGCACAGTATCTAAGCAATCTGGGATCAGGAATGGGCATTTTGCCTTCCTTACCCTAAGGAGATGCTAGTCTCCCTCAACTCTCTGGGGACCCCTGAACACATATCTGGCCCCTTTTCCTGACCTTTCTAGGGGAGACCCCAGAGACAGCCTCCCTGGAGCCACATTGCAAGTGGCCAGAGCTGCATCCAGCATCACCCCCTCTGAGGGGCCGGTAGACAGCTCCAGGCGGAGCTCAAAGTGTCCTCGGACTCCAGCAGGAAGTGTTGGACTGGATGTCGGTGGGGTCCTTTGAGACCCCGATTCTGCAACCTCAGCCCCCGGGGCCCTCCAGGCCCACAGTCCTGCTGACTGAAATGTCGGCAATGGTGGCCACTGCGCCTCTGCTCAAGAGTTTGCAGGAAGTTCCACGTGGGAGATCAAGTGAGAGTGGCCAGGGGCCTCTAGCAATGACCAGCAGACAAAGCCTGGTCTCCAGGCATCACCAGGCCACTGGGCCAGGAGCCTGAGCTGTGGGCTCTGTGGTGGGTGGATGCTGGTTTTCTTCACTGGTACAGGAGAAAATGGGGATCCTGAGAGATCCCATGGAGAAGCTTCCAGCAAGCTGGGCCTGGATCCCAGCCCGCCTCTGCTCAGGTGTTCATAGTTGTGGACGCTGAGTATCTGCCAGTCCTAGTCCCTCGGAGGGACCCATGCACTCCAGGAAGCAGCCTCAGACCCAGGGAGGTGGTATCATGCACTGATGATGGCAAGGCCTCCTGGAAGCCCCTGGGGCAAAACCTCTTGGCAGTGCTCAAGGCCCCACACTGGAAAGTGGACACAGCACAGTGATTTGCCATGTCCAGGCCGGTGCAGAGCAGCAGGCAGCCCACGTCACTCTCCTGGGCCATCTCTCTGCAGGGGACAGCCACCATCTGAGCCCCCCATCCAGGGGTTCCCATGTGGGGACACCTTCTGGCAGCCCAGCTGAGCTCCCACCCCTAGCAAACACTGCCGGCCTCCCACCCCAGAGTGCTTTCAATGGCAGCAGCCCCCGAGGGCACCCAATGAGAGACCCCAACTGAGAGCCCCCAAGCATGCCCTCCAGACTCCTGGCGAGTGGGACGGTGAGTGAGGAGGCCCGAGATCTGCCTCACAACAGAGCAGAGCATGCCTGCTCCAAGCCGGGGTCCTCTCCAGACATGGAAGGAGGGAGGGAGAGAAGGAGGGAGGGAGGGGAAGGGGGAGGGGAGGGGAGGGGAGGGACCAGGGAGGATAATGAAAAGGACCTGGCACTATTTGTAGAGACACACTTCTGCCCACTGAGAAGATCCTCGGCCTTGATGTCCAGCTCAGCGGTGACGGAACCCGGACAGAGAGAGCAGGACCCCAGCATGAGAGTAGCAATGGACGTCACAGCAAAACATCCACATTTCACAGTCACGACTTCCAGGAGCAAACCGAGCCTCTCCAGCAGCAGGGTGAGAGGTGACAGGGCACAGTTGAGGAATCCCAGGGCTGCCGTGATAGGGGTGCCCACACAGGGCTTCAACAACGGGTGTCCACTCCCTCGCAGTCTGGAGTCCCACGTCCCAGATGGAGGTGCGGGCAGGGCCGCGCTGCCTCTGAAGGTTCTGCAGGAGCACCCTTCCTGCGTCTTCCACTACCGGTGGCTCCAAGCATCCTTGGCTTGTGGCCGCATCACCCCACTGTCTGCTTTGTCGTCTCAGCCTCCTCCTCCTCCTCTCTGTGTCTGAGTCTGGATTTCCCTCTTCCTGTGAGGACACCCGTCACCAGGTTCAGGGCCCACCCTACCCCCGTATCTCATCTGAACTAATTCCACCTGCAAAGAGCCTATTTCCAAATAAGGTCACATTCTGAGGTTCTGGATGAACATGACTTTGCGGGGGACACCATCTAACCCTGAACATATAGTGTCGGGAGCAGGCACTGCAGAACTGAGGTCAATCTGTTTCCATCTGTGTCTCCTGGACACCCCAGACACCCTTAGAGCCATGGGGAGGCCGCAGTGCCACCAGTCAGGCTGGAGACCCCTAAGTGGGTGCCCAGACAGGGCCCATGGCAGGAGGGCAGTGGGCACAGAGGAGGAAGGCCGGGCTGCTCCCTGCTTCTCCTCTCCCTCCTCCTTCTCCACTGGAAAGTTCCACAGAAGAGTCATTTGGAGGTGAGCAAGGACTCAGTAGGGCTATTGCCCTGGAGAGGAGGCGGCCGAGGAAGGAGAGCCCAGCACGGCTCTCGGAGGCTTCGCAGGGAGTGGGAGTCAAATACCTGGGAGGAACGAGGGCCCTCTCCAGGAAGAAAATGTCTCCAAACCCTCAGAACCCTCCACAGACCTAATTGCCAAACAAAGAAACATGTTTTCTCAAGTTCCATCCTCAGCTTCAAGATGACCCTGCGTGGGCGAGCTGTGTTTGTTTGACCCGTCTGGACCTGCATGAACCTGAAGACATGGGCCCCAGCCGGAGAGGAGGGGCCTGTGGTCACAGCCCGGTCACCAGCCCAGTCTCGGATTCTTGGCCCCATGACAGGTGCTGAAGAAAGGCAAGGGGGCTGGGGTCGCTGTGGGTGGTGCCACGTGGGAGGACACGTGTTAGAGGCACACGGCCAGTGTAGGTCCCTCCCTTTGTCACTGGCCAGCAGTGTTCTGCCCCCGGTCAGCTATTTCCCTTCCACAGGCCTCAGTTCCCCTCTGAAAACACCAGCATCACTGGCCAGTGGTAAAAATTAAACACGCTCTTAATCTTCCAGGCTCTGTCCTGGACACATGGTGACCATCACCAGCATGAGTCAAAGGCCACGAACCAGGCATGTGTGGCTTCAGGACAAAGGGACTGCACCCACACCCCATTCAGTGGGGTGACCCCTTCCTGCTTCATCCTCCTCCCCAGCAGCCACCTCCTCCCTCGGGGTGCTGGCTCTCCCCAGCCGCACAGCAGCCCGCACAGACCCGTGGCCTGTGTCCTGTCTCCCCATCCCCCCAGGACAGCCAGGCTGTGTAGACAGGGCAGGGGACCAGCATCTTCTGAGGCCCCAGACACAGCTCCTCAGGCCCCACCTTTGGCCCCCACACACCTCCACCCCCCAAGGGGGATCCTCATGGGGCAGCAGCGATGCCCCACGGAGTGTCCTGGAGGGTGGGGCGGGGTGAGCGTCTGTGCAGGCAGGGCGAGACCATGCAAGGCAGGCTCCCCATCTCCGGCTCATCAAACACCTGCTGCCACGGGCCCACCCAGAGAAAAGTGGGATCAAGGCCTACAGAGGCCCCTGCCTCGTGCTCTGCTGGGGTCCCCAGGGAGGTGAAGCCTCTGCTGGTCCACTGTGGCCCTAAAGGCTGCAGTTGAGACACCCGTGCTGCCAGCTCCAGACTTACAGGGGCATCTCCACCCTTTGCATGCCTAAACACCACCCCCCGACCCCTCCTTCCCCCACACTGGGACCCTCCCAGGGCACTGGACCCCACCGGGCCCCAAGGTCCCCAGGGGCCATAAGTTCCCCCTCCCACCCCACCCCAGGAGGAACACTGCCCATAGCTCACTGAGGCAACGTCCAGCCTCTAAGCCCAGGAGCTTCCTGTGCTGGAAAATCACCTCCCATTTCCAGATGAGGCCTGGGCCGGGAGAGCACGCTCTCCCCACACTCTGCACCCTGCCCCAGCTTCTTCCCCTGCCTGCCATGTGCCTCGGCCCCCAGGAGCCCCAGTCCCCACCCACAGCCTGCAGCAAAGCCCCATTCACACCTCCTATGACATGGTCCTGCTGCCCTCCAGGACCCTATCACCTAGTGCAGGACGGGTGACCAGCAGGCAGGGCACAGCAGCCAGGAGCAGCTTGTAGGAGCCCCTGAGCCCTGCCCTGGCTGATGCCTCCTGGGCCATGTCTGACACATCCTCAGAAGCCCATTTCTCAGATGCAGTATCCTCAGCCTTTGGGAGGGATTTGGGACACTTGAGCAAGGCCCTGAAGCATGTGTAGGAGTTCTCCTATCCCGACTTTCAGGCCACCTGTGGTCAGGGGGTTCCCTGTGCTGCCCGAGGTCCTGCCGTGCCCGCTGCACTAGCTGGGGTGCCCTCCCTTTCAGCAGTCCTCAAAGGAGTCTCACCATGCTAGGAAATTTTAAACCCCAGCCTCAGCCTGCATGGTTCCCTCCCGCTAAGGCACCCCTCACTGTCTCATCTCCTCTTCTGTGGGTGCTCCCTGACCCTCCTCTTCCCCCTCCAGGCTGGCCCCAGGCTCTCCCTCTCCTCCCACAGCCCTGAAAGGTCATATTGCCAGCATTGCCAGCACTCATGTCTGGGTCTCTGTCTCTCCCACCAGAATAGGGGCTCCTTTACGGATGGGGGTCCTGTCCAGCTCCTCCCTGAACCCCGGAAGGCACAGGGAAGGAGCCACTCTGTGGCTCCAATTCCAAGACTGCCTCTGAGCTTCATAACTGCCTCTCTCTCTGCCATTGAGGGCTCATGCATTTTAAAACTTTCTCCGGAGGAATAATTCACTCTTTGCCATGACCCAATTATCTTTCCAGTTTCTGGGCAGAGTTACTGAGTGATGTTCTGAGGGTGGCTTGGTGGGCAGGCTGGCAGCGGGAGAAGGGTCTCACCTGCAGGCTGCACAGGGCCTCTTCCTCCCACCCTCCCGGGCCCGAGGCCCCTTCCCACACCCCTAGCTCCACAGCAGCAAAGCAGGGCTGTGGGGTGGGCCAATGCCTCGAGGCATCACCACAGCCAGGCTCTGGAGCAGAGGGCCCTGCATCTGTGTGTGCTGCCTTTGCAGCCTCAGTTCAGGCTCAGGCGCAGCTCTAAGCCTCAGTTTCCCCAGAAAATGGGCTGGTTTGGGGATTCCATGAGTTGATGCCTGTTGTCAGCACTGCACTGGGCTCCAAGTGAAGAGCCCAGAAAGGGACTCTGGACTCAGAGGGAGCCAGGGCCCAAGCCTGCTTCTCCTGCTGCCTGCTGGTCTGTCTTGGGGTCTGCCTTCTGCTCTGTCATGTCCCCTGCTGAGCCTCTGTTTCCCCAAATATAAATGTAATTGAGGTTTTTAGTACCTTCCTTACTGGTAGCTGGGAGGACCAAGCGAGAAAACGCCTCTGAAATAACCTAATCAAGTAGACAATGCTCACCAGATGAGCTCAGAGGCTGCAGTGGAGACGGCGTTCCTGCACTCGACAGACACTCCAGGCCCGCCCCAAGGAGCCCGTCCAATGGAGGAGGCACGCACATGTGTTACAGGACCAGCAGATGTGTATGCCCACAGCGCTGTAACACACCCCTGACGTGGAGACAGCAGGGTTTGCAGCAAAGAAAGGGCGTATTGATCACAGGGCAGTGAGTGAGGGGGTGGGAGGGAGCTGCAAATCCCTGTCCCTAAAGAGTTCCAGGCTGGGGTTTTTAAGGGGATCTGGGGGGTGAGAGGCTGGAGAATTGGGTTGGCTGATTGGCTGGGGTAAGGGGCTGAAATCTTCAAGATGTGGGGACTTGATGATTCTTCGGCAGCTCAGGTCCTCCAGGGTCCTACGGGCTGGCTGGCATCAGGAGCTTCCTCGGCACGCAGGGCCTGAAGGGGAATCTCAAAGGGAAACACACGTTCCCAGCGCTCATCTGCAGAGCAGTCGAGAAGGCAGTGGACTTGTGGCCAGGCCTGTGTGACTCTGGGGCCACAGGCAGCAGACAGGCTTGAGGCAGCCTGTCAGAGCATGACCACCCAGGGACGAGTGTGAGGGCGCCAGGCTGAGTTCATTTTCGTTTCTCCCCCTCCCTTCTTCCCTGGTTAATTTTATGAAGTTTATGGGGACGATTTCACACACACACCTGCAAGCACACTCCTGCCCACTCCATACAGCTCCCAGGCAGTCACAAGGTGAAGGCTGCCCTTCTGACAAGGGGCTGGTGCTCTGCCAGCTGGAAGGGGCACAGGGAAGGGACCCCCCACCAAGCCCATTGGCCTCCAACATCCTTCCAGGAGGCAGGTGTTCAGCCCCAGACACCCCCACCCCAGCCAGCCGACGCAGCTCAGGAGGGGGTGGGAGTGGTGCTGCTCCCGCCAGAGTGCACCCACATTGCCACCCCAGGTGAGGTGGGGACAGCACCGTGGGAGGGAGGGAGGGGCACAGTGACAGCTGCATGCGGAGACGCAGCGAGACGAGTCTCAGAACCTTCCAGACAGAGCTGGTCAGAATCTCATCAGTTAAGGTTAACGTTAGCATTGGGAGGCAACTTCCAGCCCCGCTTAGAGTGGTGCAACCACATCACCCCAGTTTTTGCTGTTGGATTCTCCAGGAAGCACTGGTTTCCAGATCCCTGACTTTTAAACAGGAATTAGCATCCTTTTTCTGCCTGGCCAGCATCTCCTGCAAGCGGGCCTGGCTGCAGCTCAGATGCTGGGAGAGTAGGTTCACATCAGGACATGCCAAATCGATCCCTCACTCTCATTAGGACCCCCACGGGGGGAGCACCAGCTCCAGGGTTTTCCATCAGCCTCTGGTCTGAGTGGCTGCTCCTAGCCCCCCTCCCATGAAACTCCCCAGCAGGAGCTCTGGCCTCTCACAGGCGGGGTTCAGCTCCAGAAAACTCCCGCTGAGGATCTGTGCTGACCTGGGGCTTCCTGAGAAGAACGAGGGTCCCGAAGAGTCCTACAGACCCTCAACCACAAGTGTCCTTGGAGGACAGGAAAGGAGCTGGGAGGCAGGACACTTCGGCTTTGGCAGGGACTGATCCTGTGAGCCCCCAGGTGCAGGGCGGGTTACAAGATGGACTGTAGGATGGGGTCACCCACTGCTCAGTCCAGCCAGCCAGCCACATGACCATTCATCCAGCTGCCAGCACATCCCCCTCATTATCCATCTACACACGGCCATTCATCCTCCATGAGTCTATCCCCACACCAACACCTGCCAGTGCAGCCCCCTCACCATCCATCTACACACACACTGGCCAATGCCCAGCTCCTCCAGTGCCACCCACCATCTCCCACAAGCACAACCTAACAGTCCTCCTACCCACTAGCCATTCATTGCCATCAAACCATCCACCTACCTGCGTACCCATTCTCCATGCACATCCAGCCAGCCACTCACCCTAACCCACCTGTCAACCTAACACCCACGTGCCCTTCATTTACCCAACACACACTTAGCAACTAGTTATCCAGTTGCTTGCCACATCAATCCAATAGCAACCAGTACCTCCATCCAATCAGCAAAAGATTCATTGATCAGCTCCTTTATTCAACCAGGAATCCATTCACCCATCCACCCTAACCCAAACCACCTCTTCAGTAATACAACCACACACCAACTAATCCACCAGCCATCTGTCAGTCTGGCTGATCTTCCTATTCACACATCACCAAACCAACTATCACCCATCCATTTAACCAGCCACCTACCCATCTGTCCATCAATCTATCAGCTATCCACCTGCCAAACCATTCCTCCCCCCACCCCATCATCCACCCATCCATCCAACACCCCAGGCAAGCATCCATAGTGACTGCCCCCCATCCATCTACCCATCTCTTCACCTGTCATCCGTCCACCCCTTCCAACTATCCAGGCCACTTCCTGAACCCTCCTTCCATCTCTTCCTCACATATCCAGCCACCCACAAATTCATTCAACAAATATGCATTCACTAACAAACACTTAGCAAGCACTCACCAACACCAGGTGTTGATTGAGGTGCTGGGTATACCTCAGGAACAAATTAGACAGAGGAGCACACATTCTAGCCGGGTGAGACGAACAGGAAACATCAACAAAGAGCTGTTGCACGTCAGGGGATAAGTGCTACACGTAAGGCAGAACTGGGTCCTGGAGGGAGAAACGGGCTTCTCTTCTGGGAGAGGCGGTGGGGAAGGCCTCTCCAAAAAAGGCGGCATCCGAGGAGACGAGGGAGACATGAAGCACGAAGGGCATTCCAGGTAAAGGGCACAGGAAGCACGGTGGCTCTGAGGCCCGAGGATACTCTGGAGGTTGGAGGGGACTGAGTGGCTGTCAGCCATCCAGAACCGAGGCCGTGAGAAGCAGCAGACGCCAGCCCCTCTGTGGGTGAATAGGAGGCAGGGCTGGACTGGACAGGTACGATCAGCCTCACTTCCCAAGCCCGGGCCACCTGCCGTAGCCCCAAGCCTCTGGAAACAGGCTCATCCTCCACCTGAGTGACGTTCAGACTTGGGAAAGGGTGGGAGTGGCTGGAACATACGCTGGGAGGTCAGCGGGGCCCGCCCACCGGCAGTGGGCTCAGAGGTGGCCGAGGCACTGACTCTGGGTGAGAGCTTTGCCCTGCCTCCTGCAGCCCCCAGCTGCCTGCCTTTCCCTCAGAGGCTCCACACTTGGCTGTTCCTCAGTCCCACGGTTTCTCGGGACCAGCATCAGGGCCGCATTGAGCCTCCACCTTTGAGGCCACACCAGGCCCCGGCTGGGTGGATCCCTGAGGATCCAGACTCACAGAGGCCAGGCACACATGCCACCTTGACATGTGTTGCTTTCCACCATGAGGATCATGTCTGCCGCCAGCTCCCCTCAGGCTGCTCAGGGCCGTGCCCTCCACAGACCACTCACCCTCAGCAACCAAGCAGGGGTCCTGAGACGAGGCTGGAAGGGTCCGGGATTCCTGCCCAGCCCCCGTTCCTGTTCGGGTGGCCTTGGATGAGTCGCTTTCTCTCTCTGCTCCTAAGCTGCACTGTTCCTAGAATGGGATCTCGAACCTGGACCCTGAAGAGCTGTGGTGAAAATTACATGTGACAGCTGATGTGAAAACAAGTTCTAAATGTTTTCTGCACCGATACTGAACTTCACCGGGGCCCTGGGCTCCTGGACCCAGCACAGGCTCGGACATGGCCCCACTCTGTGTTCCTGAAAACGGCTTCCTGAAAGGAACCGCTTCCCCATGGGACTCAGGCAAGACTCACAACACCCCCTGGTTTACCGGGGCAAGGCCAACCCAAGACTCCCCAGTCCCTCTGCCTGGTGAACAATCCCCCTGACTGCTCCTCCCACTAAGCCGCCCCACAGGATGCCTGTGACCCAGGCTTGGGTTAACATGGCGCCGCCCTCCAGGTCCTCAGCTGAGGCCCCAACTGGAGGCAGCAGACAGCCCCTCAGAGGCCAGGGTGGTTCCGGGAGGAACTCTGCTCCACTGTCCCACGGGTACCGTCATCCCATCTCCCAACACTCATGCCTCTAGCCTTGCCGACCACTTTCTGTAAGAGAAAACCCCTGTCCCAACCCTCAAGACGCCTGCAGAGCTCATGGTCAGGCATCCTCCTCCCTGCAGCCATCCCCTCCCCTAAGACTGCACGTGTCTTTCTCTGGCATTGGTTCTCAGTGGTTCTTACGATGGGGACAATGGTTCCCTCTCTTCTGACCGCATCTGCCCAGGGAAGACACCAGCATTCCTGGCCCCATGTCCAGCTGTGGCCCAGGGCTCCATGAGGACCCAGGAACTGTGGCACACAGGGTCCCTCTGCTCGGTGGCTGATGTGGTAAGGAGGGACAGACCCACTGCGAGGCCCCACGCAGGCACTGTACAAATGACCCTTCTCACAATGGCACAGGCTCTCTGGGGGCTCACATATGTGACAGCTATGGGGGGAGGGTGGGAGGCTGTGGGCTAAGCCAAGCCCCAGGTCCCACCCCACAGGTCCAGGAAGGGACAGGATGACAGGCAGGACAGGCCAGGGTGAGCGAAGTCTTGACCCTGGTGTTAACCCAAAATATCTGAGATGGGTCTCAGTCAATTTAGGAAGTTTATTTAGCCAAAGTTAAGGACATGCGCCCATGACACAGCCTCAGAAAGTCATGATGCCCAAGGTGGTCAGGGTGCAGCTTGGTTTTATACATTTTAGGGAGGCGTGTGGCATCAATCAATATGTGTAAGAGGTACATTGGTTTCGTCCAGAAAGGCAGGACCACTGGAAGGAGGGAGGGGGCTTCCCGGTCACAGGCAGGTGAAGAACAAACTTGCATTCTTTTGAGTCTCTGATTAGCCTTTTCAAAGAAGGCAATCAGATACGCATGTCTCTCAGTGAGCAGAGGGATGGCTTCGAATAGGGAGGCAGGTTTGCCCACAGCAGTTCCCAGCTTGATTTTTCCCTTTGTGTAGTGATGTTGGGGTCCCAAGATTTATTTCCCTTTCACACTGCCTTCAGCCCTCAGGTCACCTAGAGTACAGGCTCGGTTCTGGGAGGCTCTGGGCAAGATGGGCTCTTTGAGTCCCAGCTGACCAGGCTGCTTGGGAAGGCAGTGAGCACAAGCTCCTGTTTAACCTGTGCTGTGAGCATCACTGCGAGTCCCTGGTGGACCGGGCTGCAGGGATAAGGGACCCTCGAGGCCACAGGCAAGGAGGCTGGCAGGCCAGTGTGGTCTACGTCTGGTGACACCACACCTCGCCGGCACCCTGCTCTGGGTATTAGTAAGCAAGGGTGACCCCTCGCTGGCACCCTGCTCTGGGTGTTACTAAGCAAGAGCGACCCCTCGCCATCCCTCCCTTGCCTCCCAGCCCTTCCGTGAGCTGAGAAAGAGTCTCCTAAGGCCGCGGGGCATTCGAGCAGCCCCTGTGAGCCATTTTGCTTCCGCATCTCATATTTCCCTGCGTCTTTTAACCAAATATATGAAGTTGTGAACACAAAACTGTCAACTGAGCTAGCTGTCTCCCTCTAACAAGATCAGTCCCAATTATGCCAGCTGCCAGGAGGGTGCTGAGAGCTGCGTTCCTCTGAGATCCTGTCTCCTGCGGTGACGCGGTGACGGTGCAGGGCAGGCCCAAGGAGTGTGTTTGAGAGGCCCCTGTGGCCGCTTCCAGAGCACTGTCAGAGAGACTCAGAGGCATCCAGCCTGAGCAACATGGCAACACCCCTTCTCTGCAAAAAAGAAATACAAAAATTAGCCGGGCATGGTGGTGCATGCCTGTGGTCCCAGCTACTCAGGAGGCTGAAGAGGGAGGATTGCTTGAACCCAGGGTACAGAGGTTGCAGTGAGCTGGGATCATGCCACTGCACTCCAGCCTAGGTGAGTGAGAATTTGTCTTTAAAAACAAAAATAAAAAGATAGAGGAAAGAAAATCATAAGGAAGAAAAAATATATTTGCTGAGCTGGCACAGCAGGAGGGAAGGGGTTTCCTCGTGGCAGATCCTGGATTGGGGGCATGGAGGCAAAACTTTCAGTTGGAAATGTCAACACTGTCCCCACAACAGCAAAAACACCAAGGATGGCAACCCCTGGGTAGGGGCGGCCCCTCCGAGGCACGCTGAGCCCTTCCTTATTTCACATGTGCTCACGTCGGCCCTGGGGGAACAAGTCGTTGCCAGTCACACTAGAGTATACACAAGGTATCCCCCTGTGCCTGGCCCTGGGGAGGAGGACTCTGGTCCTACCTGGGGCAGGAGGATGGAGAGAAAGGAGACCAGAGCCAGCTGTGAGTCTCCAACGGTTCTGGCCAGGCAAGCAGGGGCAAGCAGCATCTGCAAAGAGGCTGGGGTGTAATTCTGGCAACAGCTTGATGGGGATCTAAGCGGGGGGAGGCTGGAGAGGTGGCTGTGAGTAACCAATGAACTCTACTAAACAGGAATTCAATCCAGGGCCTAGCACTGTAACCCAAATATCTTCAGGGGTCCAGATGGCCCAGTCCATGCACAGACTTCCCTTCAAAGGAAGCCAAATCAGAGCTGAGGGACTTGAGGAATTGTAGTTCTTCACTGTCAATTTCCTTGTTAAACCTCCCTGCGGTTTACAGGGAACACCATGAAGAAATCCAACCCAGACATCTTTCCTTCACAGACTCCACACTCAGCTTCTCCCCCTCCCACGCTGCTCCTCCCTGTCCTTCCCAGACCCCACACTCAGCCTCTCCCTCTCACACTGATCCTCCCTAGTCCATCCCAGACCTCATCCTCAGTTTCTCCCCATCCCACACTGCTTCTCCTTGTCCTTCCCAGACCCTATGCTCAGCTTCTCCCCCTCTCACGCTGCTCCTTCCTAGTCTTTTCCAGACCCCACACTCAGCTTCTCCCTCCCAGCTGCTCTTCCCCAGTCCTTCCCAGACCCCACACTCAGCTTCTCCCTCTCACACTGCTCCCCCCTAGTCCTTCCCATACCCCAGGCTCAGCTTCTTCCTCTCACGCTGCTCCTCCCTCATCCCTCCCAGACCCCACACTCAGCTTCTCCCTTCCACCTGCTCTGCCCTTGTCCTTCCCAGAACCCACGCTCAGCTTCTCCCCATCCCAGGCTGCTTCCCCCATCCCTCCCAGACCCCATGTTCAGCCTCCCCCATCCCAGGCTGCTCCTCCCCTGTCTTTCCCAGACTCCACAATCAGCCTCCCCCTCCCAGGCTGCTTCTCCCTGTCCTACCCAGACACCACATTCAGCCTCTCCCTCCCACACTGCTCCTCCCCTGCCCTTCCCAGACCCCACGCTCAACCTCTCCCTCCCACGCTGCTCCCTGCTGTCCTTCCCAGACCCCATGCTCAGCTTCTCCCTCCCACGCTGCTCCCCCCATCCTTCCCAGAACCCACACTCAGCTTCTCCCGCTCCCAGGCTGCCCCTCCCCATCCCTCCCAGAACCCACGCTCAGCTTCTCCCACTCCCATGCTGCTCCCCCCTGTCTTGCTGCTCCCTGCTCCTTTCTCCTTCCTCCTGGGCCTCCACCCACCCATCCTGCCTGCTGGTCACAGTCACTGTGCTAACGCCCTTCCCCACACAGCCCACAGGGCCCATCCCCCAGGCTCGCTGTAACTGCCTTCTATGAGAGGGCTGTGCTTGGGCAGCTCTGGTGACACACACTGGCATGTCACCCTGGGCGTGTCATGGGGAGCCACTGGAGAAACCCTGCACTAGAGCAAGGAATCAGCAAGAAGAAGGGCAGCCTGAGCCAGAGCTGGGAGGGGAGTGGGAAGGCTGAGGGGTACAGGGAGGTGGCAGGGCGGGAGTGGTGAAGCCATGCAGCAGAGGGGGAAGCTGCTCCCGCCCACATTTGCTCCCACAGGAAGATGCCAGAAGACCCTTCCCCCAACTTTGCCTTTAGTTTCTGGTTTCCAAGGAAATCTGAGAGCCTGGACACACCTTAATGAGCCCTGGAGATGACACCTCCTGGTGGGTCCCACTTGAAAGGCTGTTGACTCTGCTCTAGGCCCTCCCTTTGAGCCATCCTGGGGCACCTGCCTGGGACACACATCCCCAAGGAGACACCATCCCATCAGGCACAAAGCCTGCACTAAGCGTGCTGCAGTCACCTGCTCTGTCATTCTGGAAGGGGGCTCAGCCCACCCTCACTGGGGCAGAAGGCAGAATCAGACCACCTGTGTACGAGGGGCAGTGATATTCAGAAAGAAATCAGCACTGAGCTTATGAAAACACCAGCGGCACAAGCAGAAGAGTAAGGGAACAAGGGCTCAGAGGAAAATCCTTCCTCACAAATAGATGTGCTTCACCTAACAGAAAAAATATATATATATATATTTTAAAAAGATTTACTGTGCTATCCATAAGGCACAAGGACTGCAGCTGCTAAAAATCAAAATCAAGCTCACAGGGGCCAGGACACTCTGATCAACAGGAGGAAGATTCTAAGAGGCAATGTCAGTGGAGTGATTGCCCACCACATGCCAGAAAACGGAGTGCCCCTCACACATATGGACTCAGCACTTCCAGGCGGAATGCCCTGGCATGCAGGAGTAGCCTGGTATGTGGGTGAGTCACAGGTGAGTCTAGACGGGGTGCCTGGTCCTGTATCCTCCAGATGTTGCATGGAAATTGTCATTATCTTTGTCTTCCCCCATGAGCACAAAGCTGAGAACTGCTGTGTGCACTTCATCCACATTCTAAGCTCCAGCGTTCACTACAAGTATCCTCATTTTAAAGACAGTAGGCCCACATGAAGTAATTCTCCCAAAGTCACACATTTCAACGTGAAGGAACCAAGATTTGAATCCAGGCAGTTTCGCTCCAGGTGCTGTACCTCCAACCACTAAACTACAAAATCACTAACCTTTACTAAATGCTTTCTATGTGCCAAGCACAACAGCTGCATTATCTCATTTAATTCTCCCAGCGACTCTCTAAGATAGGAATTTGTGTTTCTATGTTGAAGATGGTACAATGAGATGAACTGAGGCCAGGTTACACAGTTGGGATATGATGGAGTTCTAACAAAATGGTTCAGGGCTTTAAACTAAAATCAAGGGAAAAGTGTATCCGAGACCACCAGATCCACCAAGGAGAACCAAACAAGTAGATCACCCTTGAAAACAAGAACAAGAAATTAAGACAGTGTGGCATTGGTATAAGGATAGGCAAATTGACGGGCAGAACCTAAGAGAGTCCAGAAGCCACTGCCATCTGTGCAGTCACCTGATCTATAACAAAGACAAGGCTGAGATGTGGGGCTGGGGGGCTGGTAGGGTGTGGTCTTTTCCATTGCTGAGTCAACTGGATATCCAAATGGAAAAAAGAAAGCAGCCTTACCCCTGCCTCACACCACATACAAAAATAAATTTCAGATGGCCTGGAGATCTAAATGCAAAAGGGAACACAATAATGCTTTTAGAGGAAAACACAAAAAACATCTTCATGACCTCAGCTTAAACAAAGATTTCTTAAACAAAACACAAATCATTAACCCTGCATTTGTGGGAGGCTGAGGTGGACAGATCACTTGAGCCCAAGAGTTTGAGACCAGCCAGGGCAACATGCCAAAACCCTGTCTCCACAAAAATTACAACAATTATCCAGCTGTGGTGGTGCACACCTGTAGTTCCAGATATTCAGGAGCCTGAGGCATGAGGATTGCTGAAGCCTGGCAGGCCAAGGTTGCAGTGAGCCAAGTTCACAGCATTTTACTCCAGCCTGGGTGACAGAGCGAGACCCTGTCTCAACAAATGAGACAAAACAACAACAACAAAAAACTTCATATCATCAAAAGACACTGTTATGAGAACTGCAATTCATATATCTGAAAAAGGACTCTTAACCAAAACACATGAAGAACTCGTGTAAACCAACAAAAATAAGATTGATATCCCACAGAAAAGGGGAAAAATACTTGCACAGATGCTTCACAAAAGAAGCAATTCAAATGGCCAAGAAATATACAAAAAAGTGTTTGACACCATTAATCATCAGGAAAATGCAAATTGAAACTACAGTGTAATCCACTTACACACCTACCAGCATGACTAAAATAAGGAGACAGAAAATAATAGGTGTCGGCAAGGATATGGAACAACCAGAACTCTCTTGCAGCTGCTGGTGAGAGAGTCAATGGGGCAGTCACCTGAGGCAGAAGTTTCACCCAGCCCCAATATCACCTCATCTTAACCGATAACATCTGCAACAACTCTATATACTAATAAGCTTGCATTCTGGAATTACTGGGGGTAAAGGCTTCAATATATCTTTTTTATTAATTAATTTATTTATTTGAGACAGAGTCTTGCTCTGTCACCCAAGCTGGAATGCAATGGTGCAATCACAGCTCACTTCAGCCTTGGACTCCTGGGCTCAAGAGATCCTCCCATCTCAGCCTCCTGAGCAGCTGGGACTACAGGTGCATGTCACCATGCCTGGCTAATTTATTTTATATTTTTAGATTTGGGGGTCTTACTATGTTGCCCAGGCTGGTCTTAAACTCCTGCTGGGATTACAGGTGTGAGCCACTGTGCCCAGCCTCCTGCAACATATCTTTTGGGGGGACACTATTCCACTCATAACAGTGTGTTTGTCTGTAACACATCTTATACTCCAATAAAAGTGTGTTTGAATTCACAATAAAAATAGCTGATGTGCATTAAACATTGGCAACGACCTGGCCTCTGCTCCATGCACTATACATGCCTTGCTTCCCCCTCACTCAAAGTGCTCTGGATCCTTGGAAAGGAGGCGTAGACCTGGGTGCAGTGGAGATAAAGGGAGAGGGGCCTGCAGCCCATCCAAGGCAGACTGTCCTCACGTCCTGGGTATTTGCCTCAGGAGAATGTAATGTCTGTGATCCACCCCCCACCCCCAGGCTCCTGCCCAGGAGAAGGTCAAAAGCTGGTTGGGTCTTAGGGCATGACCCAAACAGAAGGCTCACTCAGCTGCACTGAGGCAGGAAAATAGGGTCTGGAGGCAGGGAACCTGAGGCCAATTCACGCTGACTTCCTAGAGCTAAATCAAAAGGAAAACCACAACTTTCCACACCTAAGTAACAGAAGGACGAGGGGCTATTCCCTTTGCAACCCCCCCCTCCTTTTCTGCTTGGCAGATTGAAAATTGAAACTACCTCTGATTGGTAACTTTCTGCAACCAATCATATATTTGCATAGGAGTGTAAGTTTGTAACTTCGCTTTAGCCTCTAATTGGTTGCTTTCACAACCAATCAGACGCTTGCATAGGGTGTAACCTTTGTAACGTCACTTCAGCCTCTGATTGGTGGCTTCTCAATCAGACTGATTGCAAGCCATTACCTCATTTACATAGGGTGTACACCAAGTAACGAATGGGAAATTTCTAGAGGGTATTTAAATGCCAGAAAATTCTGTAACGGGGCTCTTGAGCCCCTGTGCTCAGCCGGCTCCCACCTTGTAGAGTGTACTTTCATTTTCAATAAATCTCTGCTGCTGGCTCCCACCTTGTAGAGTGTACTTTCATTTTCAATAAATCTCTGCTTCTTTCCTTGCTTGGTTTGTGCATTTTGTCCAAGTCTTTGTTCAAAATGCCAAGAAACTGAACACCCTCCACCAATAATAATGCCTGGGGCTCAGGTGCCTGTGACCTGCTCCTCTTTGTTTCTTCTTCCCTGAGGAACATCTTGCTCAGCTCCTCTTAGGAACCAAATATCTGGGTACCCCCAAAATGTATACATTGAACCCCTATCCCTTAATGTGGCTATAGTTGGAGCTGGTGCCTCTAAGGAAGTAATTAAGGTTCAATGAGATTATGAGGGTGGAGTGCAATCCAACAGAATGAGTGTCCTTAGAAGAAGAGACACCAGAGAGCTCTCTCTCCCCCCACTCCCTCACACTCAGAGGACAGGCCTTGTGAGGACACAGTAAGAAGGCGGCCTCCCACAGCCCAGGGAAGAGCCCTCCCCAGATGCTAGCCCTACTGGCCTATGGATCCTGCACTGCTGGTCTCAGCCCTTCTGGCCCCAAGATCCTGCACTCCTGGTCTCCCGAAGTGTGAGGGATAAATGTCTGTTGTTGGAGCTGCCCAGTCTGTGGCATTTCCTTATGGCAAAGAGAGCCAACTAAGACAACTCCTGACATTCATTAAGGAAAATGGAAGAGCCGGTAACTCTGCTGCTTTATCCTTCACAGAGGCAGGAATCTGAATTTCATCAGGATTTAAAACTGTCTGTCTCTGGAGGCTGGGTAATGCTGACCAGGACAAGATCATTATCTGTGGAGGCCCTTTCATTTCATCATACTCTCAAGGCTGAAACTTGATTTCTCCCTCAGAGCTCAAGGCAAGACCAATACTCTCCTCTGTGAACAAGAAACAAAACAGCTGCTGTAAAATATTAGTGTAAATGGCAGACTTGCAGCTGCAGAAAAGCAAAGTCGTGGTACAACAGAAAAATTTGAGAAACACTTCCAAATCGCAAGCGAAATTAAAATATAGAAGTGAAAAGTCAAGAACAGAGGCAGGTTGGATGTGAAGGTCTTACAGAGCCAAACCACACATAGCAGATGCTCCTGAGGAGAAAATGAAGAAAGGAGCAGAAGTAGCAGCCAAAAACATAATAGAAGAAAACTTTCCAGGTGGAGAAATTGAAAATGCTGGGCAAAAAAATAATGCAGAGAGAGCAATAATGCCAGAGGGTGTTGTGCTACACTGAAGTTTGCACTTCAGGAAAAACAGGACATCAGAAAAGCTCCCAAGAGGAAAAAAGTAAACAGATTATCTTCAAATAAGCTAAAATTAAGTTGTCTTCAAATGTGTCTGCTGAAATAAAAGATGCCTCCAGACCATGTGATATGGTTCCGCTGTGTCCCCACCCAAATCTCATCTTGAATTGTAGCTCTCATGATCCCCAAGTATTGTGGGAGGGACCTGGTAGGAGGTAATTAAATCATGGAGGTGGTTACTCTCATGCTGTTCTCATGATAGAGAGTGGTTTTATAATGGGCTTTTTCCTCTTTGCTCAGCACTTCTCCTTCCTGCCATCATGTGAATAAGGACATGTTTTCTTCCCCTTCCACCATGATTGTAAGTTTCCCTAGGCCTCCCCAGCCATGAAGAACTGTGAGTCAATTAAATCTCTTTCCTTTATAAATTACCCAGTCTCAGGCAGTTCTTTACAGCAGCGTGAGAACGGACTAATACACCATGGGATAACTGATACTGGCATATCTGTGTGGGAAACCCCAGGACCTGAGAAATTTCTGGCCATTTCTAAAAGCTCCAGATGGCTGCACCTGTCACCTCTTCTGTAAAAGTTGCTTGAACGGAATCCTTCAAAATACCAAACAGGACAGCAGGGACATCACCATAGAAAGAATTGGACTGGAATGATAGGCCAGTTAAAAATAAGAGAATCAAAGCATTCACAACTCTTGTGAGAAAGGCTGCTGCTGACACAAATTTAAAACACAGTTTATAACAACGTCAACAAAGTGGAACGCATTGGAAAACTTTAAGGGGTTTAAAATTTCAAGTAAGAAGTATGAGGTTTGTAAATTCAGAGGAAATTAATGCACTTAGGAAAGGGATGAAGATAACAAGGAGGAGCAGCATTAAGTTCTCTGTTTTCCATAAAAGGGAGTCAAAAGTCATTGTTTAATCTTTCATTGTTAGACAAATATAAGTTTAAGACTGTTTCAAAAACATGATGTCTGCCTTCTAAATCATTACAGATTTTTTTAAAAGAAGAAATATGTGGACAGAAAATATGTCTGAAACACCAGGAGTTTGATGTTGGTATTGTTGCTCACTGCACAGAAAGCCAGTCACTGAGACAATGAATACTGCAGGGAAGAAGGAAGGCTTCCTGCAGGTGCGCAGCTGAGGAGGTAGGAGCTCATTCTGAAATCCATCACCTCAACTGGCTAAATTTAGGGGTTTATAGAGCAGGGAAGAAAAGTAACCACATGTAGAAAAACAAGAATTGGGGGGCACGAAAAAGAGGAGGTGGTCAACAGGAAGAAGGTGGTCCCTTAGACAGTCATGATGGGTGCAGGTCAGACGTCTCATTGTCCAGGAAGGTGGGGAGGGGAAGGGAGAAATGGGAGGGAAAAAGGAAGATAGGGAGGGGAGGAGAAGGGAGGGATGGGAGGAGAAGGGAGGAATGGGAGGGAAGAAAGGAGGGAGGGGAAGGAAGAAGGGAGGGATGGGAGGTGGGAAGGAAAGGAGGGAGGGGAGGGAAGAAGGAAGGGAGGGGAAGGAAGGGAGGGGCAAGAAGGAAGAAGGGAGGGAGGAGGGAGGAGAAGGGAAGGAGGGGAGGGGAAGGGAGGGATGGGAGGGAAGAAGGAAGGGAGGGATGGGAGGGGAAAGGAGGGAGGGAAGAGGAGGGGAAGGGAGGAATGGGAGGGAAAAGGAAGGAAGGGGAGGGGATGGAAGGACAGGAGAGAAGAAGGGAGGGAGGGGAGGGAAGGAGGAAGAGAGGGATGGGAGGGAGGGGAAGTGAGAGATGGGAGAGAAGAAGGAAGGAAGAAATGGGATGAGAAGGAAGAAGGGAGGGAGGGGAGGGGAAGGGAGGGAGGGAAGAAGGAAGGGAGGAAGAAAAGAAGAGAGGGAGGGAGGGGAGGGGAAGGGAGGGAAGGGACGGAGGGGAAGGGAAGGAGGGGAGGGGAAGAGAGGGATAGGAGGGAAGAAGGTAGAGGAAGAAAGGGACGGGAGGGAAGAAGGAAGGGAGACTGGGAGGGGAAGGGAGGGACGGGAGGGAAGAAGGGAGGGAAGGAGGGGGGAAGAGGGGGAGGGGAAGGACGAGAGGTCAATATGACACACTCATTCCAAATACAGGTAGAATTATGTAAATATAAAGGATTTCTGGTTACAAAAAAAAAGACCAGTCTAATGTCTTACCACTTATAAGAGACTTCATAAAGCAAAATAACACAGAAAGGCTGGGCTCCGAGCTAACAGCCAGACCAGCAAGTGTGAAGGGCCTCTCTCAACTCCCGCTCAGCTGGGAGCCTCCCCAGGCAGCAGAGTCAGGAAACAGGGCACCCTTCTGACCCCCCACCCTCACTCAGGGGCCCTCATTTTGTGGGGTCTCCAGGACAAGGCCCTGCCCCTGGGCACAGACGGTGAGAGCAGGAGGCCAGGCCAAGGTGTCAGAAACCACCCCCACCTGGACGGAGGAGAAATCCCGCTCCTACAGAGAGCAGGGGCTGAGTGAGAGAGGGGAGTGGCAGGACAGTGTGAAGGGAGGGCAAATATCCCTGCCTGTGTGTGGGTGCTCCTGGAGGCCTCTGCCCATGAACATGCATACACAACACACCACACACACACAACACACTTACAAACCACTCACACAAACCACACAACACAAAGCCTGAGGTGAGCACAGTCTTCCAAAGACACGCAGCATGGCCCCAGGAAGATTGATGGTTTGACAAGGGCAAGTGAGGGGGGAGGAAATACCTGTTTAGACAGATGAATGGATGGGTGACAGATGATGGGTAGATAATGGATGGGTGAATGGATAATGGATGAGTGGATGGATAATGGATGGGTGGGTGGATGGGTAGATGGATGGATGCATGGGTTGATGGATGGATGGATGCATGTGTCGATGGAGGTTAAGGTGGGTGGATGTATGGGTGGATGATAGGTGGTTGCATGGGTGTAACATGGATGATGGATGGATGGATGGATGAGTGGATGATGGATGGATGGATTGATGAGTGGATGATGGATAGATGGATGGATGAGTGGATGATGGATGGATGGATTGATGAGTGGATGATGGATAGATGGATGGATGAGTGGATGATGGATAGATGGATGGATGAGTGGATGGGTAGATGGATGATGAATGGGTGAATGGATGATGGATGGGTGGGTGGATGGGTAGATGGATGGATGCATGGGTGGACATTAAGGTGGGTGGATGGATGGGTGGATGATGGATGGACGGGTGATTGAATGGGTGGATGGATAATAGATGGATGGATGATGGATGGGTGGATGGATGTTCAAGTGAGTGGATGGATGGATGGATGGTGGATATATCACGGATGATGGATAATGGATGAGTGGATAGGTGGATGGGTGGGTGGATGAGTGGATGGAAGATGGATGGATGCATGTATGCATGGATGGATGATGGATGGATGGATGGATGGATGGATGGATGGATGGATGGTTATATCTTGGATAATGGGTGGATAAATGGTACATAGGTGGATGGATGGATGGATGGATGTTCAGGTGGGTGGATGAATGAGTGAGCAAATACTTGGGTCATAAATGAAAAGTGTGTGATAAGTGAAGGGACAATGAGTCAATCAAAGGCCCAAACTGGGGCCATATCCTAGCAGAGTGTGGCCAATGAACAGAGGCCAGATCAAGCAGCCCCCAGGGTAGGGCTGGGCAGCTGTCAGAAACACACCCTCTACAAGCCCAAGCCAGGGGAAAGACTGCAGCAAGACAAGGCTGCACAGCCTTGAGCCTCACCTGCCTGTGTGTGTGCATCTGTGTGTGGCT
The DNA here is from genome assembly GCF_000001405.40 of Homo sapiens. Classification (NCBI taxonomy): domain Eukaryota; kingdom Metazoa; phylum Chordata; class Mammalia; order Primates; family Hominidae; genus Homo; species Homo sapiens. Next base: position 65,422,402 of record NC_000009.12, read on the forward strand.
GTGTGTACACATGGAGTTGTGTGTCTGAGAGTTCCAGTGTGTGTTTCTAACTGTATGCAAACCTGTTTGAGTGTGCTCTCATGGGTGAATGTATGTGTGCATGTGTCTGTGTGTTGGGGCATAGCTGTGCCTGTGGCATGTCGGTGTGTGCGTGTGTCTGTCTGCCTGTCTGAAGTCTCTGTGTTTTCGGGTGTTGGATGTATCTGCATGTAAGTGTGTCTATATGTGCCTGCATGTGCTGGGTGTCCTCTCCACACCTTCGGCCTGGGACCTTTCTCTGTTTTGAGCTCTTCCTCTTCCCTGTCAGTGCCGTGCTGGTAAAGATTTAACAACTGGCTCTGCATCAGGGCTGGGAGAGCCCTGACTTTAGCATTTGCTGATATCCATGGTGTAAACCCAACCATGGCTGACTTGGAGCCCCCAAGGCACTGAAAGCAGCATTGGGAGGAGACACAGGAGCACAGCCAGCTCTCCGGAGCCTGTGTCACTGACCCCAGATGCTTCGGCCTGGCTCTGACTCCTCATGCATCAAAGCCCTCCTCACGTGGTTCTACCTTGGACCATAGGCTCAAGCACCTCCACGGTGGCCTGGGGCCTCTGCTCTCTCTGCACAGTCAGGGGCCAGCCTGAACCGTCCAGGTGTGCTGGGTCACAGAACTCTACCCAGGGGTTCCAGGGGCAGGACAGGGCAGGGTTCTGCAGAGGAGAGGACCAGCAGCTCCCCAGGGTTGGTGCCTATAGGCCACAGCCCTGGAGCTAACTCTGTCCTGAGAGAGTGACCACCCCATGATCCCTCCCTGCCCCAGTGCCTCCAGGAAGCCCTCCTTGCCCTACCAGCCACCTCTCATCTTGCAGACAGCAGTGCATTCATCGTGGAACCCTCGAGTTTCTCCTTGAATGTGTGCCACGCTGACTCGAACCCTGGGTGGGGTTGATCCATTCTACAGAAAGTCTACTCTCCTCCACTCTGTTCCAAGCATCGTGCTAGGATGCTGAGAGTACGGAGACAAATAAGGTCTATCCCCGCTCTCATGGAGACCCCTAAAATGAGCCCCACCACTGCAAACTATCACTCCTTCAAGCTCAGGCTGGCCCCCGGCCAAGCTATATCCAGACCTGACAGCTGCATGTTAATAAGCCCCTCCCCTGCCATGGTCACAGCGCACACTGAGCAGCCCCACCTGGCTGGTGGGTGCACCACCCCTGCAGGTGGCCTAGACGAGGGACAGTCCTGCTCACCCCCTGGGCCCCCATCTCTCACGCACACACAGTCAGAGGCAGGACAGAGCTCAGCTCCCTCTGCCCAGGGCTGCCTGCCAGGTCAGAAAGCAGTGCCCCCACCTCAGTGGAGAGGGAGGAAGGGTGCGTGCCCTCGGCAGACAGTGTCCGGGGTGGGGGCGGGCCTGGACTCTGCACAGATGGAGGAGGCCTCTTCACTCTTCTGTGTCCAGCGAGGTCAGATGGCCCCTGGCACAGTCTTCCTGCTTGTGAGTGTCTCACCATCTGTGCACAACCTCGGCTGCCAGCTCTGCCCTGGGCCTGCCCCCAGCCTGGCCCTCCTCTTCCCCCACCTGTCATTAACCTTCTCCAGGGAGGGTTTGTCCAGCATGGCTCTGCCTGTAGCCTCTGTGGCTTCCCATTGCCCTCGAGACAAAGCCGGGACTCCTACGCAGCTAGCACAGACCGTCTCCTCTGTCCCGGGCTGGGCCTGGCTCTGCTCTCCACATAGACCGTCTCCTCTATCCTGGGCCTAGCCTGGCCCTGCCCTCCGCCCAGGCTCTGGACACATCCTTCCTCTGCCCTGGACACTCAGTGTGCGGCCTCAGCCCTGTCCTGGGTTCATGGCTCCACACGCCTGTGCATAGCATGTTTTGCACTGCTCCTTGTAGACAATTCCTTCTTTCCACATGCACTCCGAGTGCCCAATCCATGCCAGGAAAGCCACAGGGAGCAAGAGTGCACGAGAGACAAAACCCATAAAACAGGGGGGTCACCTGCAGGGGAGACCTCGCTGGGGGTGCTTAGGGAGAGACACAGGGGCCGGGGAGGGAGCCACGTGGACACAGGGAATCGTGTTCCAGGCAGCAAGTGCAAAGGCCCTGAGGCACCAGCTTCCAGCAGGCTGAGGAAGAGCCTGAGGGGCAGGGCAGCCACGTGGGGTGAGGCCGTGGAAGATGTGCTTGGGAGAAGACAGGGCTGCCAGGCTGCAGGGTGGGCATGCTGGGTGTGTGAATTCCATAGGATGGGCTTCTGGGAGCAGCCCACAGAGTGCCTGGCCCAGTGATACTGATACCTAATCGGGCTTCCCATGTGCAGGCCCCACCCTACATACACATTCATGCACCACAGTTATGCAATCCTCACAGCTCCCCCACTAGGCCCATTCTGCAGATAAATAAGCAGAAGCAGAGAGGTGAAGTTGAAGGCCCAGGGCCAAGCAGCAGGCAAGGGCAGAGATGGAAAGCAAGCCCAGGCAGGCGACTCTGCATTCACCCACGTGCCCCACCCCACTGTGGCTTGGTCCCCAGGAACAGGGATGCATCCTCCTCCTCCCTGAGCCTGGCCCCAGGCCAGTGAAGCCCCATCTGCGTGGATCATGAGGTGACAGCTTAGCACCCCACAGCATCCAGAGACCTCCCAGGAACTCGCTGAACTGGAGGGGCCTAATGAACCTTCGTCCTCCAGGGTCTATGGGCTCTGAACTCACTAATTCCTTTCTTCATTCCCTCACTCATTCACTCACTCATTCACTCACCTACTAACTCATTCACTCACTCACTCATTCACTCACTCATTCACTCACTCATTCACTCACTCACTCATTCATTCACTAACTCATTCATTCATTCACTCACTCACTCATTTACTCACTCATTCACTCACTCATTCGTTTGTTCACTCATTCATTCATTCACTCACTCCTTCACTCATTCACTCACTCACTCATTCACTCATTCATTTCCTCACTCATTCACTCATTCACTCACTCATTCACTCATTCATTCGCTCATTCATTCACTCACTCATTCACTCACTCACTCATTCATTCATTCATTCACTCGCTCACTCATTCACTTGTTCACTTATTCACTTGCTCACTCACTCACCCGCTCATTTGTTCATTCACCCATTCACTCACTCACTCATTCACTCACTCATCCATTCGTTCATTCATTCATTCACTCACTCATTCACTCATTCACTCACTCACTCATTCACTCACTCATTTGCTCAGTCACTCATTCACTCATTCATTCATTTGCTCTCATTCATTCGCTCAATCACTCATTCACTCACTCACTCATTCACTTGTTCACTTATTCACTTGCTCACTCACTCACTCACTCTCTTATTTTTTCATTCACCCATTCACTCACTCACTCATTCAGTCGTTCACTCACTCATTCACTCTTTCACTCACTCCTTCACTCACTCATCTACTTCACAAATCTAGCCTAGCCCTACCTACTCCCTGGGGCCAAGCTAAAAGTGCTGAAATGCATCATTGTTGTCCCACCATGGGGACATCTCAGGCTGGTGCTCATGGACACAGACAGGGACAAGGAGGGAGGCCCAGGGATATCTGAGCTCTGAGGAGACCTCTCTGCTGGGCAGAGTCAAAGGGCACTCCCCTGCTCAGTGGGATGGCAGCCCTCTCTACCTTGTAGGGCCACAGTGTCCATTCCTGTCCCAGGTGTCTGAGGGACACAGAGACCCTGTGGTTTCCTGCCTGACCCCACATCCTGCTGTGTGTCCCTGCCTGAGAAAAGAGGAGTCACCTGACAGTGGTTACAGCGATGGCACGCAGCCTGCCTGCCATTCCAGCCAGCATCAGAGACTGCTGAGCTCAAGGGGCCAGCAGACAGACTATGGCAGGCACTGGCTGTGCCTGGCAGGCCCTCAGACAGACGGAGGCGGGCAGGGGCTGGTCAGGCCAGACCTCAGGCAAGGATGTGGAGCCAGGGTCTCTGGAGCCAAGACAGACTGGGAAAGAGAGAGGGTTAGCTGTCCTTGCCTCAGCCCACGGGGGAGGGGGGTGGCTGAAAGGGGCTGGAGATGTGGTCACTGAGGGGTCTCAGACACCAGACAAGCCGGAAGCCTAAAGCAGAGGGAGCCCCGCGCCCCACAGGACAGCCCAGGGAGACTGCAGACATCGGAGCTGGGGTCCTACCGGGCTCATCACTCCTGGCTGCACAGGCTTGGGGTAATGGTGACAGCCAGCCCATCTGGAGCAGTTACTGAGCGCCAAGCCCACACCTGGCCTCACCATCTTTGACTCACTCGAGCCTCATAACAACCGGTGAGGTCTCCATGGTTCCCATTCAGTTAACTAAAGCTCAGAGAGGCCAACGGTCTCCTACAAAGGGAGCTATGAGCCCACCACAGGTGGGGAGCCAAGAGCCCCTGCTCCCTGCTCCTCCAATCCCTTACCGAGGAAACGGGACACATAAACATTTCCTATGGACATTCCCTAAGGAGGCCCAGACCCTGCCACTTCACTAGTGGGGTCCTGGGCCCGAGACCCTGTGGGATGATCAGGCCAGCCCCAGGAGCCTTCCCTGCGAAGCTTGAAGTGCCCCGACCCACATGCCCGAGGAGGCCAGCCTAGGGAGTGATGAGGGCTCCAGGCATGCCCTGCCTGCCTCTCCCTGGCCCATGGCCTCGGGCAGCTCAGCTCACCCTCAACCCACTGGCTCCCTGACCACCTATAGGCCCTGGTCCTCGTCCCCACACAGCTCCCACAGTCCCACTGGAGGCCCCCCGCTGCCCCACCTCTGGTCCTCAGACATCCTGGCAAGCCCCTCCCGAGCCCTACTCTCTGCAGGAGTCCTAGGGACCTGGAAGGGAGGTGGGGCAGTGGGCGGTCCCACGAGAGGCTTCTAACAGGAGTAGCCTGGTCCTGGGCTCAGACCAGTCCAGGTCCCACAAAGGCCAGCCCGGTGTGGCCAATGGGCTCTGCCTCAGAACCAGCAGGGGGGTGATAAATGCAGGTCCCTCACCTCATTCTGACTTCCTGAGTCCAGATCTCCAAGTAGAACCTGGAAACTGGATTTTACAGGTGCCAGGGCCTTCTTAGCGGGAGGCTGGTGAGCTGAGAATGCTGGTCCCAGAGGCCTGGCGAGCCCCAGCTTGTGAGCCCCCACCCGCAGAGCAGCAGCTCCTGAAGCAGAGCCCAAAGGCCACTGCCCCCCGTGCCCTTGGTGCCCAGCACAGTGTGGGCAGAGTAAGGAGCCAGGAGGATGAGTGAATGAATGAATGAATGGGTGAATGAATGAATGAATGAGTGAATGAATTCAAACTCTCTTCCAGTGCAGCCAGTGCAACTGCCCCCAAGAGGTCTGATGCTAATCCACAACAACTTAGAAGAATGTTGACCCTGGCCCAAGACCCTTGGCCCCTCAATGCACAGGGCCTCCTCATGCCCCCTCCCACCCTGGAGTCCCCGCTCCCTTGACTAGAGACATCAGAGACCAAAGTGGCCAAGACAGAATGACTCAGGGTTAATTTCCTTGTTCTTTGGGCTGTGTGCCCCAGGGCCAGTAACTCAACCTCTCTGAGCAGCCGTTTCCCACTTCTGAAAGCCCCACTTACTTCCCAGGGGTGTTTGGGGCCCAGTGAGATAACAGATAGTCTGGCCAAATGGGGAAGCACAACCTACTGGAAGGTGCTGACCAGACAGGGCTGGTACGGCAGCAGCACCCTCACTCTATGCTCCACACACACAGCCCTGAAGCCGCTGGGTCTCCCTGCCTGGGGCTTTGCACACACGCACATAGGCCCAGAGAGGTGAGCAGGTTGCCAGAGGTCCCAGCTCCTCCAGGTGTGGGGCAGGATTTGAACTTGGGGCTCCCTGGCCTGTGAGCGCTGCTCTGAACCCTTCTGCCAGGACAGGTACCCCATACACACCACACTGGCTCCTCCACAGCATTCCCTCTGCTTGGAATGCCTTTCAAAGTTCAGCACAGACCAGCCACCTCCTCCTGGAAGCCTTCCCTGACTTCCCAGCCCCACAAGCTACTGGTGTACATGCCTCCTCTCTGGCAGAAGCTACTCTAAAGACACGTGCCCTGTTGTTGGTTCATTCAGCACACTCTGTGCAGGCACCATGTGCTTCTTAGGGGTGTTCTCTCCATTCCCTGGCACGCAGTAGGGCTGGTACTTTGCTGGCGCACTGCTCCATGGGTCCCTGTCTGAATCATTTCCACCCTTGGGCAGCTATGAGTAAATGCCAGGACCTCCAGCCAAGATCTTTTCATTGGCTCTTTGTTTGGGCTGTTTTTGCCCTTTTAAAGTAAAAATACTTTATTTTTAACATATTGATGCTGTTGTTTTCTTTTTAAGAAGGTGCAAAAATAAAAAGCCAGGCTGGTTTCTCCTCTTGGCCAGTATGTCTGTGGCAGCCCTTATCAGACACCCGGAAGCTGTGTAAAGGACCCCCAGGCACCCAGGTTCCCAGAGAGAGAGTGGAGGGGCTCAGGATTGGGGGCGCTGCCACCAGAGGTAAAGGAGGCATGGCCTGTCCTCTTGGGGACAAACCAAAAGTGCAGGGGAGGGCCCAGGAGGACCCTCTACCCCTGCAACAAGGGCCTCTGTGGGTGGAACCAAGATTGTGAGAGCTGCCTGGGCCAACTGGAAGATGAAGAGCAATCCTCTCTGCAAGTGCCTCTGGGAAACGCCTCCCTAAAGCCAGCTCTGCCCTTGGGAAGCTCACAGGACAGAGGGGGAGGCAAGGGGAGTGGAGGGCTGAGGCCAAGTAAGGAAAGGGGAATAGGGACACAAAGAAGAGCCCAGGAAGGCCTCTTGGGAGAGGCAGCTCCTAAACCGAGCCCTGAAGGATGATAAGAGTTATGCAGATGAACGAGGACCAGAAAGGACACTGCAAGGAGCCGCACTGAGATGGTAACCATATCCCCCACCTGGAGACTCAGTCTCCTACGCTGTCGAATGGGACAGTCCTAGTGGGTCTGGCCGGGCAGGGTTCTCACAAGGACCCAGCAGTCTCACTATCCATTTGTTCATTGCTTTCATGATCAATCGTCACCTGTCTTCCTTGACACCATCCCACGCCAGGGCCTGGAGAGGCCAACAAGGATCAGATAAGGCCCTGGAAGGTTCTGGCTACTCCCAGGCCAGAAAGGAAGATGAATGAGAAGAGATGATGACAGTCTGCATTCAGGCAGGGTCTCCAGAGGGGGAGGGTCTGAGTCTTTCAGGGATATTCACGTCCATGTCCACTTTGCTACTTGATCAAGGATGAAGAGGAGGTGGGTAGCTCTGGAAGGCCAACAGGGAGATGTACTGAATGAGGAAAAGTCCCCAGGCAGGGCCCCCAAAGCAGAAAGCTGAGGCGGGAGCTCAGAGACCCACCCTAGCTCGAATATGCCACAGAGACAGCAATGGCTTCACTGAAAAGGTGGTGGGACCAAGTGCAGCCACCCACAGCTCTGCCCACACTGCTCTGGCCCACAATTGCCCAGTGATCCCCACAGGGACTTGCTGAGGCCTGGGGTGGGGCCCACTCCCCAGGGCAACCAATCAGAGACAGCTGTGGCACATGGACACGAGGCCAAGGGCAGGAGCAGCTCCTGTCTGGGTCTCAGTTATCTCCTCATCTCCCCCATGATAACGTAAAGACAAAGTGAGGCTTCCAGGAACTCAGCGTTGCAGAGGTGGCTGTCACCATGGCAGTCTGCCCTGAGCCAGCAGGACCCAGTTCCTGATGGGGAGGTGGGAGGGGGAGAAAGAAGAGAGAAGCAGGTGCAGCCGGTACCCTGCCAAGGCGCCTGGGCCAGCGCTGGATGCAGGGGATCCCACAGCGCACCATTTGCCCTACATGTAAAGACTTTCTGACCATTGCCTAGGTATGGTTCTCTGGGCTGGGAGCGGCCTCCTTCCTGCCCTGCAGACCATTCCCCAGCAGCAGCCAGAGGGGTCTTTCAAACGCCAGAGTCACCCCCAGGCTCAAAACCCTGGGAGCCCGTTGTCTTCAGAACATGTTTCACAGTCCTTGGCCTGGGAGGCAGCCTGGCTGGGAGTTTCAGGCCTGGGCCTAAATCCAGCCTCTCAGAGCACCAGCCATGCGGGTGTCAATGTTCCTGCAGCCGGACCCAGGGCCTCCCTTGCACACAGAGGAGGGTCCATGGTGTCGGAAAAACAAAGAAAGAGTATATATGGGCCAAGCTCCTTGCTGTCAGGCACGCACAGCCCTCAAGGACAGAGCGGACGAAGGCACAAGCCTCAGCCCTGGACCCAGGCTTCCCCTGTGCACAGAATCCCTCAGGCTTCCTGCCCTCAATGAGGTAGGTCTGGGCACGTGAGGCCCCTGCTCCCTGACCACTGGGCTGTGGGAGGGCCACCTGGGTCACCCCAGAGGTCCAGCAACTCCTGGAAATCAGTGCCCACCAGGTGCGGGAAGCGCCTCTGCCCTTGCCCCTCCAGGCCCAAGGCAGGGAAGGGTAATTTTCTGGACAATGTCCAGGTGAGGCTGCTCCTCCAGGTTCTCCCAGGTAAGCTCCAGGTAAACGGGCTTTCCCAGCCCCTGCTGGTTTCCCTAACCACCCCTCTCACCCCAAAACATCCTTCATCAGCCCCACAATTGCCCACTGGAGATTCTGTGGCTCCTTCATGCCAGGCCCCTGATTCATGGAGAGTCACTCAAAGGGAGACAAACTAGAAAGTAGAAGTGGTGGCTCACGCCTGGAATCCCAGCACTATGGGAGGCCGAGGCAGGCAAATCACTTGAGGTCAGGAGATTGAGACCAGCCTGGCCAACATTGTGAAACTCCATCTCTACCAAAAATACAAAAATTAGCCGGGCATGGTGGTGCATGCCTGTAATCCCAGCTACTCAAGAAGCTGAGGTATGAGAATTGCTTGAACCCGGGAGGCAGAGTTTGCAGTGAGCTGAGATCGCACCACTGCACTCCAGCCTGGGTGACAGAGGGAGACTCCATCTCATAAACAAAACGTAGAAGTCCCATAGCCTCAGCCCAGGGAGGCTGTGAGAGACGGGCCGGTCCCCACCCTCACTCCCTGCCTGGCCCGGGGAGCAAAGCCCCCACAAAAAGCAAGTGCAAAGCAATGCATGGGCAGAGGTGCAGGAGGGGAACTAGGCTGGCAAATGCGAATTTAAATGAGCCATTCATTGCCAAGCAGTGCGTTATGGCACTCAGAGACATATAAAGCGACTCTTGACATAAAAAGGACCCCCTTAGCTCCAGGCCCACCTCCTGTTCTTGTTCTGCCCGATCCTTCATCTGGGGGCATGAGGCTGGGTGGGGTGTCCCTCCCCTTCCTATGATTTCTCCTGCAAAAAGCATCCAGGGCAGCATTTATGGACCACCTGCAGCATACCTAACCCTGGGCTAAAAAAAGTAAGGAATGTCAACTGCCGTGTCTGGGAAGCCTTGCTGGTGCTGGTGACCAGGGCAGGACGCTGGGTGGACACAAACTAGGGAAGGGGCAGGGCTTGAAGTCACCACCGCCGGCAGCCTCCCACCTCTGAAAAGGTCCCTGTCCTCGGGCTGGGCCCACCAGCCACATGGCTCAAATTTATCTTCCTGCCTCCCCAGCCTGTGGAGAGGGTAGGAAGCTCTGAGGGCCTGGGACTGCCTGGGACTCCCACTAACACTGTATCTGGGAGAGCAATGCCCCCCCCACACACATGCACACAGACACATATGCACACCTGACCCACACACACAGACACATGTGCACACCTGCCCACACACGTGCATACCTGCTCACACAGACACATGTGCACACCTGTTTACACACATACACATGTGCACCCCTGCCCACACAAACATGTGCACACCTGCCCACATGCATACATACACATGTGCACACCTGCTCACACATGTGCACACCTGCCTTCACATACATACACATGTGCACACCTGCCCACACACATACACATGTGCACACCTGCCCACACACATGCACACCTGCTCACAGACATGCACACCTGCTAACACACATACACATGTGCACACCTAAACGTGCACACCTACTCACATGCACACAGACATGCACACCTGCTCACACTCAGACACATGTCAATACCTGCCCACACACATCACAACTGCTCACACTCAGACACACGTGCACACCTGCCTTCACATACACATGTGCACACCTGCCCACACATATATACTCATGTGTACACCTGCCCACACATACATACACGTGCACACCTGCCCACTCACATGCACACCTGCTTACACTCAGACACACGTGCACACCTGCCTTCACATACACATGTGCACACCTGCCCACACATACATGCACATGTGCACACCTGCCCACACACATGCACATCTGCCCACATGCACATCTGCTCACACTCAGACATATGTGCACACTTGCCTTCACATACTTACACATGTGTACACCTGCCCCCACACACATGCACACCTGCTCACACAAACACACATGTACAGCTGCCCCACACACATGCACACCTGCTCACACAAACACACATGCACACCTGCTTACACACATACACACGTGCACACCTGCCCCCACACTCATGCACATCTCACATGCACACAGACATATGCACACCTGCTGACACACAGACACATGTGCACACATGCCCACACATACATACACATGTGCACAATTGCCCACATACACGCGCACAACTGCTCACACACAGACACGTGCACACCTGCTCTCACACACACATATGCACACCTGCTCTCACACGTGCACATCTGTTCACATGCACACATACACATGTGCACACTTGCTCACACTCAGACACAAGTGCACACATGCCCACATGCATACACATGTGCACACCTGTTGCCATGCACACATACTCATGTGCACATTTGCTCACATATATGCATACCTGCTCTCACACACAGGCACGTGCATACCTGCTCACACACACATACACATGTTCACACTGCTCACACACAGACGTGCACACCTGCTCACCCGCATACATATATGTTCATGTGTGCACACCCCCAGCAGGTGCATGTGCCCTGTGGTTGCCTGACTTCCACACCACAGGCTTGTGAAAGTGATGGGCGCTAATGTTGCCAGCTGCATCTCTGGGCAGGTTTCCTTGGCAACCTCTCTCTCCTACTCTCTCAGTTTGGGTCCCAGTGTCTCCATGAGAGTATCAGAGCCATTGGGAGCAGAGTTCTGTAACCTCTTAAAAAGATGTGTCAGGGTTGACAAACACATCTTGGCACAGCACCCAATCATGGAGCTCTGCATTTCAGGTGCTGGCCTCGTGATGGAAACCTGCTTGGACCCCAAAACGCTGTGCAACCTTCTGGGAGACTCGGCCTTTCTGAACCCCAGCTCTGGGGCTGAGGCCATGGGAGCAGTGCTGCTGCCTCACAGGCTGCGTCCAGTACATGTAGCTGGGAAGGGCAGCTAGTCATCCCAGGAGCTGCACCTGGGAAACGCTCTCCCTTGCAGACCCAGGATGGAACCATCCCTGCTCACACCTTGACCTCAGATTTCTGACCTCCAGAACTGGGAGACGATTCATTTCCGTGGTGAAAGCCCCTGGTCTGTGGCATGTTTTCCTGGCCACCTTGCACTGGGTCCTAAAGCAGAGGGGCAGCCATCAGCCCCACCTCCACCTGCCCCACCCACCAACTCTGTTGCAGGAGCCTCAGGTCCCCAGGCCTGTGTCAACTAACCCAGGGGTCAGTCAGGAAGCTTTTGAGAGCAGCTGAACTGAGCCGCAAGGGACCAGCCAGTTGGATCCGTCAGAACTGACCCTGCCTTCCGATGGATCAGACACCTTCCGGCTGCAGGATAGAAAGTGACCTTGGGTGTAGGGCCAGCTGCACATGGAAGACACCTTTGGAAAAGCTCGTCCTGTGACCGGATCCCCGGGGCCTGCCCCCTCAGCCCGGATCCTGTCCTGCCAGGCCCGGGTGCCCCTCCCCTGCCTGACTCAGTTTCCCTGACCCCACCCTGGACTCTGCTTCCCCAGCCTCACCCCATAGCCCAGGCCTTCCCGACCCTGTTGGACACCTGCACCAGGCCCCTGAGTCTAGTGGAGGCTTCCCATCCCTCCCTTCTGCTCCAGCGTCCACAGCTTGACTCTCAGCTTGGCTCTTGAGGTGTCTGCGGCCTGCCCCTCGCAAGGTGACCCCTCCGCCAGCCTCCTCCACCCCACAGGCCCCTCCTGGACCTGCCGCCTTCCTCTTGTCCGGATGGCACTGAGGCGGGGACTTTGTCCTTCCTGCACAGTCTTCGAGGGGCTGGAGGGTCCTCAGAGGCAGAGCTCCTGGGGGTGGTGGGGCCATCACCTCAGTGGGAGGGGCAGTCCCATGGATCATTCACCAGGCAGAGGGGCTGGGGGGTCTGGGGCTGGCCTTGCCCCTGGTAAACCAGGGGGCATCGTGAGTCTTGCCTGAGTCCCTCGAGGAAGCGGCTCCTTTCAGGAAGCCTTTTTCCAGAACACACAGTAGGGAGTACAAGCGAGCCTGTGCTGAGCCCAGGTGAAACTCAGCATTATAGGAACAACTGGATAAACATTTAGAAAAGATAGAATGGGATCTGACTTTATGGCATATCCCAGAGTAAACTCCAAGTGGATCAGAGATTGAAATGTAAAAAATGAAACCACAGGGCCTGGGGCAGTGGCTCAAGCCTCCCAACACTTCGTGAGGCTGAGGCGGGAGGATCGCTTGAGCCCAGGAGTCTGAGACCTGCCTAGGCAACTTAGGGAGTCCTCGTCTCTATTTTTAAAAAAAAAGAAAGAAAGAAAAGAAGAAATGAAACTACAAATGATCCCAAGGAATTTGCAGCATGTGAATTTTTTATAATCTAAGAGCAGGAATAACTGTGGCTCCAAAGTCAGAAGCAATAATGGAAGATACTGATGATATTGATGTGTGAATGTTATAATTACATATAAAAAATTGAGACCATGCCAAAAAGCAAAATATAAACAAAGTTAAAACACACATGATCAACACAGAGGGGAAAAATCCACAATTTATGTCACAGTCAAAGGGCTGATCTCCCTAACACAGAAAGAGCTCTGATAAAAACAGGGAGGGAAAAAGATCAAAACCTGATCAGAACAAAAGGGACATAAAAGATGTCAACAGGCAGGTCAGAGAGACATGCAGACATGCAGACCACCCTCAAACAGAAGCCATCAGAGGGACCTCACTTAACAAGCGTGCCTGGGAGCTGCCTGGAGACACCACTTCTTCCCCATCAGTGGGCACTGCACTGGGGCTTGACCACATGCTCTGCAGGCAGCTGTGCGGAGAAGTGGGCCCTGTCTCCCACCACTTGGAGCATACACGACAGTACCATTCCTGCGGGGCACAAAGTGCCGCAGTGCGAAGGGAAGATCCAGCAACCTATGAGCAAAGTACAGGTGTATCGCCTGAAGCAGCCGTCTCCAATGTAGGAAATCACATACGCCCAAGGGCGTTTGTCATGGCATTATAAGCAGTATCAAAACAATGGAGACATCCCAGCTGTCCTTCAGCAAGGGCCTGGTCAGATGAACCAGGGTGCGGCCATGCGGTGGGTACCAGGCAGCCGTGAGGAGGAAGCAGTCCACTCTCCGTGCTCTCCCGCGCCTGCTCTCCAGGACGCGGCCTTCAGGGACAACAGAGAGGAACAAGGAGTGCAGAATGCCCCCTTCTGTGCAGCGGAAAACATGCACTTGACCTTCTGCTTCTGCCATGACAAATGAACATGCACAGGACAAGCATTCCTACCATACACGACTATCAAGCTGGGCAAAATCGACAAAGCGGCTGTTTGCAGACACTGGGCCACAGGCTGTGACACTGTGCCCTGTGCTCTCCCTAACTTCTGCCTGGAGGCACTTTCTGGACACAGGATGGGCAGGTGGAGCCTAGGCAGAGCACAGGTGTCTCACTGAGCTCAGTCAGCCTGGGGAGACTGAGGCAGCTGGGATTTGCAGGGCAGAGGATCAGAGAGGAGGGAGCTGCACAGAGAAGAGATTCAGAAACGCATGGAAGGTCCTCTAAGGGCTTCTGGATACTGAGCTGCACACGTGAAAGGCAAGATGAGGCCTGACAGAGGACATCTCTGAATGAAGAGACTGGAGCTAAGGACAGCCCGGAGGCGACACGCTGCTGGGAGTCATTCACATCCCAACCAGCCAGAGCGGGAGGCCTGGGTGCCCAGCAAGAATGCCAGGCATTGGGAGTTGGCTTCCTGGCCCTAGAGTAAAGGCTGCACCAGACCCACCCTACCAAAGCTGAAAAGCAGCTCGGCAGGACAATCTGACCCAGGAAAATGCCCACCAGGGAGGATGCACTGTTGCAAGTCCAGATGCAACAGTGGAGCATCTTTAATGTCCAGCGTATGTTAAAAAAAAAAACAAACCCTACACATAGAGATTTGGGAAAATCTGACACACAGCCAGGGAAAAGGACTAACAGTAAATAGAAATACACCCAGAGACACTGGAATTCACAGACGAGCACTTAGAAATGGCTATTACAAATATGTTCAAGAGCTTAGAAGAACAGACGGTGACGATAAGCAAACAGATGGAGACTCTCGGCAGAAATGAAATGCCCTGAAACAAAATGGAAATTCTGACACTGAAAACTACACTCTCTGGAACAAAAACAACCCTGGGCGAGCTTCACAAACAGATTGGAGATGGCAGAAGAAAGAATCAGTGAACTGAAAGACAGAGCAACAGAAATTATTCAATGTGAAGGAAAGAGAGAGAAAAATCATTCAGAAAATAGAGAGATTCAGTGAGACAATGTCAAGTCGTCTAACATAAGTGTCAATATCCATTGAATCTATTCCTGGAGCCCCAGAAGGAGAGGAGAAAAAGACTGCAGCTGGGATAAAAAATGGATTTGAAGAAATAATGGACGAAATTTCTCAAAATATCATGAAAAATGCCAGGCACAGTGGCTCATGCCTGTCATCCCAGCACTTTGGGAAGCTGAGGTGGGTGGATCTCCTGAGGTCAGGAGTTCGAGACCAGCCTGGTCAAACTGGTGAAACCCCGTCTCTACTAAAAATACAAAAATTAGCTGAGTGTGGTGACGTGTGCCTGTAGTCCCAGCTACTTAGGAGGCTGAAGCAGGAGAATTGCTTGAACCCAGGAGGCAGAGGTTGCAGTGAACCAAGATCATGCCACTGCACTCCAGCCTGGGTGACAGAGTGAGACTCTATCTCAAAAAAAAAAAAAAATCTTGAAAAACATCACCCTACAGAAGAAATAACAAGTCCTAAGCATAACGTGCATGCATGCACACACACAGACACACACACAAACACACAGACACACACAGAGACACACACACACACAGAGACACACACACACACAAACACACGGACACACACGGAGACATACACACACAGACACACACAGAGACACACATAGACACACACACCATACACAGACACACACATAAACACACAGACACACACACACAAACAGAAACACACACACCATACACAGACACACACAAACACACATGCACACAGAGACACATACACAGAAACACACACACCACACACACAGACACATGCACACCACACACATACAGACACACACAAACACACACACAAACACACACCACACATAGAGACAAACACATGAACACACACAAACACACATACACACAGAGACACACACACAGAGCCACACCATACACACACACACACACAGACACACCACACACAGACACACCACACACACCCCAAACAAATATGTGCATGCACACACCCCACACACAGAGAGACACACACACACCATACACATACACAAACACACCAAGGTACTTTATAACAAATACTGAAAACCAAAAATAAAAATACACTCTGAAAAGCAGCTAGAGAAAAATTAAACATGACATGTAGGAGGGGAAGAAAAGAAATACCTCCAGCTTGTCATTAGAAACAATGCCAGCAGGAGACAATTGATGACATCTTTGCAGACTGAAAAAATCGTCGGCCTAGAATCCTACATCTCACAAAAATACCTTTCAAGAGCAAAAGCAGATTTCCAGTTTCAGCTTGAAGACAGCAGAAAGAGCCTTGCTTCAGCCCTTACAATAAGAAAAAAAGCTGAGAAACTGCAAGTTAATGATTTTTTCATCAGGCCTTCAGAGAAATGGAGTCACAGGGGAAACAAGCAAGCCAAAATCTGGAGAAAAACAGGCTTCCGGGGAGAAACAGGACCTGAGCATGTTCTCACCTGGGGCAGATGCCACTGAGTCTATTACAAGCTGGTAGATATAGATCTATATTGGGTAGAAATGTGTAAGAATTTACTAAAGGCCAAGCATGGATAAGCATGGGAGTGTGACACCCCTGGTGCCACAGACATATGGGAGGTTCTCACCCTCTTGAAGCTTTTCTTCCAAGGATCCCACCAACCGCTCCCAGGGAAGACACAAGGAAAATCCTAGGGAAGCTTTACCTGGGGTACTGGTGGAAGGAAACACATTTACCTCCAAAACTCTGCCCAGACCCATCCCCACTCTCTGCCCAATGGAACAAAGTCTGCAAAGAAAAACAACAACAACACAAAAATCCGAGCCTCTGTCACTGGTAGGAGTCCATGGAAGCTGGGAGAGGAAAACAGAAAAAAGAAAAAACTCTACCTTAGGAGAGGGTCAGACACACATGCTAACCATGGCACCACCCCGGAAGAGGGCAGGCACACGTGGGAAGAGCCTGGAACAACATTGGATGGCCTAACATACATGTAGTGCAGTTCCAGAAGGAGAAGACACAGAGAAGAGGCTGAAAGAAGTATTTGAAGACCTAACGGCTAAAAATTCTCCAATATGAGTGACGGACACCAGATCACAGATTCAGGAAGCCCAGAGAACATCAAGAAGGGTAAACACCAGGAAAATCCACACCTGGATACATCTTCAAACCACCACAAATGAAGGACAAAGACAATCTTCTTGAAACCGGATGGGGAAAAAGATACATTATCTACAGAGAAACATAGATAAGAATTTCCACAGACTTCTCATCAGAAACCATGCAAGCAAAAAGACAAAGGAGAGATTTCTTTTTTTTAAAGAACTGAATGAAAAATGAAGACTTCCAAAAAAAAAAAACCTGAAAGAATTCATTACCAGAAAACCCACTCTACACAAAAAATATTAAAGTTCTTCAAGTGGAAGGAATATTATATAGACAGAAACTTGAATCTAGAAAAAGAAATGAAGATACTGGAAATTGACTGAAGACAAAAGAAAATCATTTTTAAATTTAATTTATCTAAAACATCATTGTTTAAAGGGAAGATTATAATAATTTATTGTATGTTTGTGACATATGTCAAAGCAAAGTGTGTAATAAAAACGACACAGGAGGAGGAGGGAGGAATTCCATGTATACTGGTCCTTACACTGCACTTGAAGAAGTACAATATTATTTTAAGGTGTGCTCAGATTGTTTAAAAATATAAATTGTGGGCTGGGCACGGTGACTCACGCCTGTAATCCCAGCACTTTGGGAGGCCGAGGCAGGTGGATCACAAGGTCAGGAGATCGAGACCATCTTGGGAAACATGGTGAAACCTGGTCTCTACTAAAAACACAAAAAATTAGCCAGGAATGGTGGGGGGCATCTGTAGTCCCAGCTACTTGGGAGGCTGAGGCAGGAGAATGGCATGAACCTGGGAGGTGGAGCTTGCAGTGAACTGAGATCGCGCCACTGCACTCCAGGCTGCGTGACAGAGCGAGACTCCATCTCAAAAAAAAAATTGTATGTATATATATAGTGAACCAGAAGAATACCTCTAAAAAGTTTTTTAAAGAGGCATCAATAAGTCAATAGAGGAAATATAATGGGATAATAAAATGCTCAATTATGATCAGAAGATGGAGGAAAAGATGGGAAATGAGACAAAAAAGCAAATGTAATAACCTGTCACATGGTCCTGAAGCACAGCAGCATAAAGCGTAGGAGTACAAAAAAACATAGCTTCACTTATGGAGCATAAAGTGAATCCTTATGAAGGATTTATACCTAAATTTCAATATACAGAAAAGACAGGGGGACAGAGGAACAAGCTGAACCTGTCATGAAGAAACAGAAGAACTCAAGCTGTGGGCGCTCTTCAAGACATAGCCCTTCAAGAGGAAAAGTCAAGAAAATAATGTCGAGAAACTATATTTTTAACCTAAAACTTTCAATCTGGAAGGAACAGGAACTTTTCTAGTTTTAGAGACAGGTGAGGCAGTGCGTGAAACTTGGTTAAGTCTTGGTTCAAAGTCACAGCTATAAGAGATGTAGGGAGCACTGGGCACTTTTAACCTGGACAGGATATTAGATAGTATTTGAGAACTGATTCCTAATTTCCTTACATGTGATCAAGGTATTGTGGTTCTGTAGAAAATGTCCTTGTTTTTAACACATGCAAGTGAAAGGATTGGGAGCAAAGTGTCACAGTGCCTCGAACTCATTGTGAAATGCTCAGCAAAACTTTAGAGGAAGGAAAGAGAGAAACATACATGGCAATATGCTAATAATTGTTGAACCTAAGTGGGAGAGATACAGGTTTTCATATGCTATTCTTCATTTATTCTTCCATAATGAACATTTTCGTAATTTAAAAAATCCTCCCATTATCCACAGACCCGATTTTCAGGAGGTGCCACCATCTGGTTCACAGGCATATGCCCAAAAGTAAGCGAGGAGCTCTGAGCAGCCAGCGTGGCAGTCACCAAGCCCTCCAGGCTGCAACTCCCAAGGTGGATGTTTATTGATTGAGCTCAACGTCTGCTCCCCCTTCCCATCTGCTCTGACTTCCGTTTGGAGATCCACGTGGTTTAGGAGAAGCTGGCTCCACTCCAATCTGAATATTCTATCCCCTGACCACAGAGAATCAGGGACACATATGTGATCTAAGGCAGTCCAGTCCCCCCACAGGGGGCAGGAGTTGCCCACAACCAGCTCAAGAATGAAGGGGAACCAACCCTAAGCAAAGCCAATCCTGCAGAAGCAGTGCCCAGAGGTTAAAGGACCTTGGGGACATCATGGAGAGCCCCTGGAGCATCCCTCACCGGAAGCCACCACATCCACCAGATTGGTCTGTTGAAGAAGCCAATAGATTCGCTTAGGCTGCCATACTGCTGCTTGCAATCAAAAAGATGCTGAGTCATACAATTCCATAGAAGAATCCCTCAGGCCCTCACTTCCAGCCGTAAATCAGTAAACAATGTTCAGGTGCAATTCTGAAATCTGTATCTTGTTTCCGGGAACTCAGGAGTGGAGACCCTGTAGACTAAGAGAGGCAAGGGCCGTGCAGGCAAGCACGCCACCCGCACCCACAGTGAGTGCTGACAGCCCGCAAGCCGGCAGGCTCTTCCCAGGAGAGGAAGCCTGGCACTCAGCCTCTGCATAATTAGAGAAATGGAAATTAAAACCACAACAAGATCCACTTCACACCCACCAGGCTGGCAAAATCTCCAAGCCGGAATAATATCCAGTGCTGGCAAGGATGTGTGACACCTCAGATACCCAAATGCTGCTGGTAGGAGTGTAAATTTATGGAATTCACATTGGATAGCAATTGGCAGATATCTACATATGTTATATGCACGTGTATATACATGTATATGTGTGTGTATGCATATGCTTATGTGTGGATGTGTGTGTGTGTGTGTGTGTGTATTTCCATGTACAGTCATGTGCCACATAACAGCACTTCCGTCAAGAACAGATGGCATATACAATGGTGGCCCCATAAGATTAGAACAGAGCAGACCTTGTACAGGTGTACTGTATTTTATCTTTTATACTGTATTTTTACTACACTGTTTCTATGTTTAGGTATGTTTACATGCACAGATACTTACCATTGTGTTACAATCACCTGCACCGTTCAGTACAGTACCACCCTGCCTGGGTTTGTAGCCCGGGAGCAGGAGGTCCTGCCATACAGCCCAGGCGTGTGGGAGGCGATGAGTCTGTGCCATCTGGGTTTGAGTAAGTTCACACTATGATGCCCGCACGGCAACGAAATCGCCTAACAGCGCCTTCCTCAGAACCATCCCTGCCATCGGGCGATGTGTGACTGTATGTGTATATGTGTATACACAGACATGTACGTGTATACATACAGTGCAAAATATTGACAGTTGGTGAATCTAACTGAGGGGCATGCAAGTGGTCCTTGTCTATTCTTTCAACGTGTCTGTTTGCTCGAAAATCCTCAAGGTAAGCTGGGGAAAATCATCTAAAAGGCGGCAAGAAAGGAAAGAAGTTATACACAGAATCTGCAAACAAACAGTATACGTAAAAGAAAACAGCAGCTCCAAACTTAGATGTATCAGTAATTGCATTAAGTATAAACAGACGAAGAGCTCGACTTGTGAGCCTATGTCGTTGACTCTGTGTGTATGTGTCTGTGCATGTGTGTGTGATGGATTTGTCTGTGTGTGTGTGTGTGTCTGTGCGTGTGTGTGTGATGGATTTGTCTATATGTGTTTTCTATTTTTAAAAAGCCAACATTGGCAGAGCAAATGCAGTTACCTGGAGCTGTCTAGCAAAGGTAGCCTGATAACCAGCATCCTCTGCATGTGGCATGTTCCGGGAACGTTTTCTCTAAAATAACTAAGAAAACAAAACAACACATTCACACATGGGGGATGTCTCTAGCTGTCACGCCATGGACTTAGGGGCTGAGGCTTGGCTGATGCCCCAACCCCAGGTGGCACTGCTTGGTGCCCTCCCCAGGGAGGGTCTCCTAGCCTGGCTCACTGAGAAACCCCACCACAAATCACCCTGGATCTGCCTCAAGGAGAGAGGTTCACTGAACTGCACTAACACACACCCCAGAGACCCAGGTGCCAGCCAGACAGACACCTTGTATTAGGTGACCTGAGGGATGGGCCATCTGGCAGCCAGACCTTCCTGTCACTGAGCCAGGGCTCTCCTCCCTGGGGACAAGTCCAGTGGGAAGGCAGAACCACAGGACAGCTTAGGAGCCGGAGCCAGGCCAGGAGAGGGGGCAGCTTCAGCCAGGTGCTCACCTCCAAACAGGGGCAGTGGGGCAGTTGGAGTTGGGGAGAGGAGACCCTCCACAGTGCTGCTGGGGATATGTTCACCTCCACATATTCTAGGCTTCCTGGCTGTGTTGAGACTGGGATACCTTTGGTCAGGTGGCTTTGTCCTCCCCCTCCATGTCAAATGTCTGCATGTCCCTCCTCTGCACCTGCTACCACCATGTCTATCCACCCTATTCAATCCTCACTGACCCTGGAAAAGCCTACCTCCCAAGACAACACTCAAGGTCAAAGGTCAAAAAAAGCCAGACACCTGTGGAATGCAGCCTAGGTCTCTTCTCCCTGGAAATTCACCTGAGAGTCTGTGCCTGGAGGCGCAGGTGCACCAGGAAGTTCCACCTAGAAGTGCAGGTGCTCAAGGGGTTCTCACCAGGAAGTATGGGTGCATCAGGAAGTTCACCCGTAAATGCAGATGCAGCAGAACATCTTACCTAGAAGTGCAGGTGCATCAGGAAGTGCAGATGCCCAAGGGATTCTCACCAGGAAGTGCAGATGAACCAAGAAGTCTGCACCAGGAATTGCAGGTGCACCAGGAAGTCTGCATCTGGGAGTGCAGGTGCACCCGGAAGTCTCATGTGGAAGTGTAGGTGCACCAGAAAGTCTCATCTGGAAGTACAGGTGCACCAGGAAGTCTGCATCTGGGAGTGCAGGTGCACCTGGAAGTCTCACCTGGGAGTACATGTGCACCAGGAAGTCTTATTTGGAAGTGTAGGTGTACCAGGAAGTCTCATCTGGAAGTGCAGGTGCTCCAGGAAGTCTCACCTGGGAGTGCAGGTGCACCAGGAAGTCTCTCATCTGGGAGTGCAGGTGCACCTGGAAATCTACATGTTCCACATGAGGTGACTCCTGGGCCTGCTTTCTGATTCTGTTTCCAGCCCTGCCGACATTAATCCACCACCCCAGTGTCTCTCAGCTCTAAAGCCATGACCCCCTCACACTCCACGCTTCTAGCCTGGCCTGTGCCTCTTTGCCCCTGTGACAGGGAAGGGTGGCGGAGCAAGTGCTGCACATAGGAGTCCAGGGCTGGCTGGTCATGGCCACCTTGGGCCCAGGCCTCCTCCTCTTGTGAGGAGGCAGGCAGGCAGCCAGTGATGCCTGGGCACCCTCCTGACACTATGCCCTCCAGGGAGGACAGGAGTGCCAGGCCTGGGAGTGGAGTATGGAAGCCTCAGAAGTTGCCTGCTCCAAGAGCATGGGGGGCTGGGACAGGCTTTCTGCCCAGCCGGGAGGACCCAAGGGCCCCTTGTTTCTGAGGGCCCCTTGTTTCCGAGGGGCCCTGCACTTTCTGAGGAACTTCCTTGGATTCAACCCTCTGCCACATCTCAAATTTTCTGCCTGCTTCTGCTACATGCAGCCATGAGGTGGGGCCCACCCAGCAGCTCCCAGCTCCATGAGAGCGAGTCCACGGCCATCTCCAAAGACCACAGTGGCCTGGCCAGGTGGATGTGACATCTTTACTGCCCACTGCTGAGACCTTTCTGCCTCTTGTTTCCATGCTGGGGTGTTCAGGGAAGGACTGCCAGGCCCGGGGCCTTGGGGAAGAAGCTCCATTTTCACCAGAAGCTGAGAATGAGAGGAAGGTTCAGGTAGGTGCAGAGGTGAGAACCCTGCAGGGGCTGAGCCGGCCAAGCCCAGCCAAATCCCAGCCCGGGACCAGGGGCAAACTGTTTAGCCTCGGTGCCCACAGTTATAAAGCAGCAGTGATGGCAGCTCCAGGCTCCTACGCACTTAGACAGGCACATGGTGGCCTAAGTGAGGGCAGGCCGCCTGCCCAGGGCCCCCGCTGCTGCAGCTGCATTCCTTGTTGTTGCTGTTGGCAGTGTCCTATCAGAAGCACCTGGGCACACACCACAGCAGGAAAGCCGGAAGTCTCATCTGGGACTCTCATCTGTGGCTCCCACCCTGGCAGAGCCATCTGGGCTGTTCTGAGCACAGGTTCACCCACAACCTAAGGAACGGGAAACTCCTTACATTCGACGCCTCTTAGCTTGTTTTAAACAAGGCCCACGGCTTCCATTTTCCTACACTATGGCAGGCCATGACCTTTACTCATGCCTCCCACACAACAAAATCAAATAAAATAAATCCTGGGTAATTTGTGAACATTTCTTTAAAGTATTGATAAACTGACAAAGAAGCTTTATTCCAAGAGCTTGGGTTAGAGTTCAGTAGGGACTGACAGGGCCTTCAGGAAAACGGCAGAAGTAAACACAGATCCCTTCTGTACCACAGGACCCCCAGCACTTTGGGAGGCTGAGGCTGGCAGATCACCTGAGATCAGGAATTCGAGACAAGCCTGACCAATATGGTGAAACCCAGTCTCTACTAAAAATACAAAAATCAGCCATGCATGGTGGCATGCACCTGTAGTCCCAGCTACTTGGGAGGGTGGGGCAGGAGAATTGCTTGAACCCGGGAGGCAGAGGTTGCAGTGAGCCAAGATCGCCCCATTGCACTCCAGCCTGGGTGACAGAGCGAGACTCAGACTCAAGAAAAAAGGAATTCAGATAATCAGATAATGGCCTTATCACACACAGAGGACGAGAAATTAAAGGACCAAAAAGATTCGAAAAATAACTATGCCCACCCTGAGAAGCTCTCCTAGAATGAAAATACATAACTGAAATTCAAAGGCAATGAATGCATTTGACTGTAGAGCAGACACAGCAGAGGAGAGGATGGATGAGCCTGGGGGAAGCGGAAGCCGTTCTCCATGCAGCACAGGAAGTCAGACAGAAAGCACGGAGGAGAAAATGGGAGGAGGGGAAGCCGGCAGAAAGGGTCTGGCACGCATCCATGTTGACACCCGGAAGGAGAGAGAGGAAAATACAGAGTAAAGTCTGAAAAGAGGGTGACTGACCACAGGTCTGTCTGATTCTGTCAAGAACAATTCAGAAGGAGCTGCAAATAAAGCACTTGGGTTAATGAGTTTGGCAGGTTTGCTAGATACAAACCAAAATGCAAACATCTGTTGTATTGCCATATATGAGCAACAAAAAAAATAGAAACTATAACTTTTTAAATGATGCTGTATTAGGGCTGGGCATGGTGGCTCATACCTGTAATCCCAGAACTTTGGAAGGCCAAGGCAGGCAAATCACTTGAGGTCAAAGGTTCAAGACCAGCCTGGCCAACAAAGTGAAACCCCATCTCTACTAAAAATACAAAATTAACCAGACATGGTGGCACACGCCTGTAGTCCTAGCTACTCAGAAGCTGAGGCACAAGAATTGCTTGAACCCAGGAGGCGGAGCTTGGCAGTGAGCCAAGATCATGCCACTGCACTCCAGCCTGGGTGACACAGTGAGACCCTGTCTCAAAAAAACAAAAACAAAAAAAGATACTGTATTAGTTAGGATTCTCCAGAGAAACAGAACCAACAAGATGTGTGTGTACGTGCATGCATGCATGTGCCTGTGTGTGTACGCATCGTGCATATGTGTGTGTGCACATGTGTTTGTGTACACAGAGAGATTATTGATTTTTTTTTTTTGAGACAGAGTTTCACTCTTTCACCCAGGCTGGAGTGCAGCGGTATGATCTCGGCTCACTGCAACCTCTGCCTCCCAGTTTCAAGCGATTATCCTGCCTCATCCTCCCAAGTAGCTGGGATTACAGGCACCTGCCACCACACCCAGCTAATTTTTGTATCTTTAATAGAGACGGGGTTTCACCATGTTGGCCAGGCTGGTCTCAAACTCCTGACCTCGTGATCCACCTGCCTTGGCCTCCCAAAGTGCTGGGATTGCAGGCGTGAGACACTGATTTTTTTAAGGAATTGGCCCACATAATTGTGGAGGTGTAGCAGGTCCAAAGTCTGCAGGGCAGGCCGACAGTCTGGAGACTCAGGGAGCAGTTGGAGTTTGAGTCCAAAGGCCACTTGCTGGCAGAATTCCCTCTTCCCTTGGGGAGGTCGGTCTGTGTTCTAGTCAGGTCTTCACCTGATTGGACGAGGCCCACCCACATTATGGCGCACCGTCTGCCTAACTGAAGGTCAGCTGATTTCAGTGTGTATCTTATCCGAAAAGCAGCCTCACAGCAACATCCTGACCAAGCACTTGGGCACTGTGGCCCAGCCAAGTTGGCATACAATTAACCATCACAGAGACCATTACAGTAGTACAGCTGGCAAGAAGTATCTAGGAATAAACCTAACAAAATAGGTGCAAGATACACAGAGAAAAAATAAGAAATTTTACTGCGTGTCATGAATGAAGATCTAAATAAATGGAGAAATAAAACATACTTGTTTTCAAAAAATAAACATGTATATGGATTGGAAAACTCAATAATATTACAGAGATACCAATTTTTCCCCGAAATGATTTGTAGAGCCACTACAATGCCAATCACAATCCTAAGTGGTGTGTGCATGTGTGTGAGTGTGCGTGCATGTGCATATGTATGTGCATGTGTGTGTGCATGGGTGCATGTATGTGCGTGTGTGTGCACATGGGTGTGTATGTGTGTGTGTGTTTGTAGACTTTAACAAGATGATTCTAAAATTTACATGGAATTGGAGCAGGCACCACTGTGAACCTATTCTGATTCTGGTGCCCAATAAAGATCTTTTTTAACTTTTTAAAAAGAGCCAGGGATAGCCAAAATATTCTTAATGAAGAATAAAAAGCGGGCAGGTTGGTCTTTCTGTTCCCTAAGATTTCCTTTAAAGCCTTAGCAAAGCAGACAATTAGGTCGGCACACAGGTAACGCATAACAGACGGAAACAGAGCAGGCCTGGCTGCTGGAGGAGAGAGGCAGATCGATGGGGACAAGACAGTCCTATTTAAAATCAGTTTGGAGAACTGATTATCCATAGAGGGAAAAATATTACTTACACTCCTGCTCTATACTGTCCACAAAGGTCAATGCTGAGAAAAATTAATTATAAATCAAAAATCAATACTAGGTGGATTAAATATGAAAGATGAACCCACAGATCCTTTGGAAAGGCATAAAGGAGAAAATCTGACTTCAGAGTAAAGAGACATTCCTTAAGCAAGACACAAAGGACACAAGCCATAAAGCAAAAGAGGAATTAATTGGACTTCATTAAAATGTACTACTTCTGTTCATCAGACACCACATTGAAATGGAAAGATAAGACACACTGGAAGATGTCTGCAGGATGGATAATTGGCAAAGAGTCACTTAGGAAATATATAAAGAACTCTCATAACTAGTCACCAAAAAACAAAAAAATATGTAATGGACCAAAGACTTGAACAGGTGCTTCACATAAAAGAAAATCCAGTTGGCAAATACACATAAGCAAAGATGTAGAACCTCATTCCCTCCCAAGGAAATGCAAATTAAAACCACAGCAAACTAAAACCACAGCTAGTGCTACTTCACATTCACTAGACCGTCAAAATGGTAAAATCTCAGGAAGCTGGGAGAATTGCTTGAGCCCAGGAGTTCGAGGCCAACCTGGGTGACATAGCAAGACCCCATTTCTAATAAGGAAAAGAAGTTTAAAAATGTTAAATTCAGGCAAAACCAAGTGTTGACAAGGATGTGGAGCAACAGTACCTTTTATAGGTTGCTGCTGGGTATGCACTTTAGAAAATCATTCAGCAGTATCTAGTAAAGTTGAAGCTGTCCAAACTGCTGACAAAGTAGCTCTGGCTATTTTCAGTAAATACCTGCTTGGAAAAGATGGTTCCAATGTTTACAGTGGTCACAACAGCATTTCTTTAGTGGTGCAGGCATACCATGGAATACTACACAGCCAGGAAAATGAACAGCAACAGCTACACACATCTGCAAAGAAGAGTCATCTGAGCAATAGAAGCGAGTCATGGAAGCATTCCCAGGATGTGATCCCACCAGGTAGCATTCGAAAACAGACAAAAACTAAACATCTGTTTAGGGGTGCCTACGTAGGTGGGAAAATTGTGACTAAAAGGCAGAAAATGATTACCCCAAAAGTCAGGTGAGTGGTCCCCAAGGGGAGAAGGAAGGAACCCAGGAAGCTTCTGGGGTTGTGGCAGTAGCGTGTCGCTCCAGGGGCTCACATTACCATTCATGTGTGCCATTCACTTCATGACAATAAAATCATATTGTTTACAAGGATGCCCTGCTTGGCCCAGTGGTCTGGGAGGGGCTGTCTTGCCCTGTGCAGAGAGAGTGCAGGTGCAGAAGTGCAGAGGGACCAGGGGTGAGCCCAGTCCTGGGACCAGACTGCCAGGAGACCAGAAGCACGGAGGCCAGGGCCCTCCCTGAAGGCATCTAATTTGACTGAGTCATGCATGGGGCTGCACCTGTGACGGCCACAGAGGCCCTGCAGCTGTGCCTGGTAGACACCTCCCTGCTCCGGAAGGACTCCACAATCTCTGACCAGTCCCCCCATCGCACCTCCTCTTACAGGAGCCCAGGAAAGAGCCCAGGCAGGCACCTCTTCTCCTCCAAGGCATGGCACAGCCCCGGTCACAGAAATGGGAGAAAGTCTGCTTTGACCACCCTTCAGTGTGCCCCTGTCCCCACTGACTCAGACTCCAGCTCCGCCCCCCCCAGCCCCCTTTGAGGACATATTGGTCCCCTCCCTTTACAGAAGAATCTCAGACTCGCTGGCTCTGCACCTACCCAAGCTCCACGGCAGGAAACAGGCTTTGCCTGGTGCCTGCACCCTGCCCCCTGCCCCCTGCCTGTGCCCAGCCTTGTTCTAGAACATAATGCAGGACCAGCCCTGCCCGCTGTGAGAGCCTGGAGGAGGCAGCTGGGTGGGGCAGGGGCAGGCTCTGAGGATCCCGGGGACCATCCCCACCAGGCTGCCCAGAGGACAGGCAGAGTGACCAGCAGGCTCCTGGCACCAGAGGGACCATGGGCCTGGCAGATGGCGGTGGATGGGGACAGTAGGAGCTCCCCACGCCACAGGGTAGCAGCCTTCAGGACAGGCAGGCAGAGGGTCTCAGGTGAACCTGGAGCTGAGAGCATTCAACATGACCACAGGGGCCATGGGGCCGCAGGACCAGGGCAGCTCCGCAGAACGCAGGGAAGATGGCTGATTCTCGAGCCCCATCTGGAGCCAGGGCTGGAGCCAGGTACCTGAGGGACCCACGTTGGGGACACAAACAGCCTCTCCCCAGGCCTCTCTGCACCCTGTGCTCCCTGGGAGGAGCTATGGGAATGGGCTGTCTACTGTGCCTTCCAAGGCCAGCTCATTATTCCTGGTCAGTCCCTGCAGCCCATACCTGGCTCTGTCAGGCCCTAAGGGCAGTGCAGGGAGAGCTTAGAGGAAAGCCCTCAGAGAGACTGGATTCCCTTTGGTGGGGCAGAGGCTGTTCAAAATGGAAAGCCACCCCCTTCTCTTCATTTCTCAGAGCAACACATTCAGCCCCACTTAGCTCTCTTCACAGCCGCAGTAGGACTTTGGTCTGTGTCCAGAACCCCCAAAGGCTACCCCCCCTCAATGCACACACATGTCGGGATGAGCCAGCATCTAGCAGGATGCCTGGCTGTAGCTCAGCATGGGCAGTGTTGGCAGGGGCAGGCCACAGTCCAGGCTCTGCTCCCACACACAACCACACGCACTGACCCGTGGCCCTCACCAGGAGCCTATGAGGTCAGTGCTCCTTTGTCTCCGTGGACCAATGTCATCCAGCGAGCAAATAGTAGGGGTGGGATTTCAACCCAGGCCATTGGTACCATAGCCCACATGCTAACCACTGTGCTCATGATCGTCAGATCACTGTAGGGGGCGAGATGGCAAAGTCAAGGAAAAATGACAGAGCAGAGGGACAGGGCTAGTCTCTCCCAACACTGAGAAGTCAGAAAAGTCTGTGGGTCCAGAAGCAGCTCCCCTTTAGGTGTAGGTACTTTTTTTCTAGTGTCTGCTGCCTACTAGGTCCTTTAATAAATATTTCCTAGGTAGATAGGTGAATGGGTGAATGGACAAGTAGATAAATGGATGGATGGATGGATGATGGATGGATGGAAGGATGGATGGATGATGGATGGATGGAAGGATGGATGGATGGATGGACGGACCAACAGATGGATGGATGGATGGAGGATGGAAATGGATGGATGGATGGATGGATGGATGGATGGATGGATGGATGGATGATTGGAGGATGGATATGGGTGGATGAATGATGAATGGATAGGTGGGTGGGTGATGGATGGATGGAAGGATGGATGGATGGATGGACGGACAGACAGATGGATGGATGGATGGAGGATGGAAATGGATGGATGGATGGATGGATGATTGGAGGATGGAAATGGGTGGATGAATGATGAATGGAAAGGTGGGTGGGTGATGGATGGATGGATGGATGAATAAATGGGTGGGTAGGTGGGAGTGTTAAAGGACAGGTGGATTGGAGGATAGAGAGAAGGGAGAGTAAAGGGTAAATAAGTGAGTGGTTGGATGGATGGATGGGAGAATAAGTCGGCATGGTGCTAATGTGATATTTATTTTATGTCCTCAAAGGCTTTTTTTGCACATATGATAGATTATTCAGAAATTGCTTTGGGTTTTAAAAAATTAAAATTTGTATGTACTGATGATACAAAATCAGAAAAGTATGTTTTTCTCCCTTAAACTATGAGCCAAATCTACAAATCTTATCATTATAAGTTTAAGAAATCTCAAAATTCTTTCTAAAAGTTATTTCATTAGCAGTAGTTCCTACTACTTAATAAAACACCTTCAAAAACTTAATTACATTAACAAACTTAATACATTAGATCTTGCCTGACAAATCTTCCCAAATTAAGTAGTTCTTTTAAATTTAAAAACATAACTTCCTAATATGATGAAACTTAGATTCTCTTAAATTTTCCAACATTTTATATAAACTTTATGATTTCAACTGATAGTCATAAGTCTAAATCAAGTAATTAAGTATATATTTCAAATTTTAATTAAAAGGCCGAACTGTCCTTCTAATAACCCCAAATTTCTTAAACATCACAAATGCTTATAATACCAAACATGCCCAGATTCCTTCACTCAAAACTATGAATACTGGAAGTTGATACCATAAAACATTTCTGTACCTAATTCTAAATATTCCCTTGGGTTTAAACATTTCTTTTTTCACTGAGGAAACAACTAAGAGATTTGAGCAGCATTATCTAGGTAATTGGAGGTTAGAAAATACTAGCATTATCAGTCAGCGTACTGATGGTATTTTCATCTACCACACAGACGGGAGTTGCAGAAACCTATTTATGTTTTGTTACAGGGACTCCAGATCTTAGAGTTTGGTTTTGAGCCCTCGACCCCATATAGAACTTGATCCTATTCCTTTCATGCACATCTATAAACCCCACCCAGGGGGTTCAAGTGGGTTTTGCATTTATCAGACTTCTCCATGATTGGCATAGTCTTCCTGGTGAGACCTGGAGTGTGGCTCCCAGACACCCAAACTTGGCTGGAGTCCTGAAGCAGGCGCAGCTAATCTGGCTGATCTACTCCTTCACACTCGTGGAGCAGATGGGGAAACAGACCAGAGGGGCAGCCCAGGAAGCAAATTTGGATGATCCAAATCTCAAAGCTGAGTTGGAATCTGTGGACAAAGCTTCTAAAGTCATACCAGTGATGTGTGGTGTTTGGATGGACAGATGGATAGATGGGTGGATAGACAATGGATGATGGGTCGGTGGGTAGATGGGTAGATGGGTGGATGGATAGGTGAGTGGACCACAGTCTGATGGGTAGATGGGTTGATAGGTGGTTGTTTGAGTAGGTGGATAGAATGGATGGATAGAAGTTTTATGAGTGTATGGCTGAATGGGGAGTAGTGGATAAGTAGGTGAAGCAGTCAATGGGTAAGTGAGTGAATGTGTAGGAGGATCATGCATGAATGGGTGGGTGGATGTCATGGGTATATGGGTATAGGAGAGGTAGATAAGTATGTGTACAGATGGGTAAAGGGAAGGATGTGGGCGCGTTATGGGGTGGTTGGGTAGGTTGACGGATGGATGGGTGGATAAGTATTGTGTTACATGGGAGGAAACAAGTTTAGTTAGGTTGGTGGGTAAATGGATGAGTGAGTAGTTGGATGTAGACATGGAAACTGGCTGGCTGGGTGGATGGATGATGGGTGAGTGAATGGATGGGTGGGTGATGAAAGAAAGGGAGGACGGATGGGTGGATGGATGGATGAGTGAGTGAATGAATGGATAGGTGGGTGAATGGAATAGGTGGATGGATGGATGGATGGATGGATGATGAAAGAAAGAAAGCATGAATGGATAGGTGGACGAATAGAATAGGTGGATGAATGGATGGATGGGTGGAAGGATGGATAGATAAGTGAATAATGAATGGGTGGACGAATATGTGGATGAATGGATGGA
The DNA here is from genome assembly GCF_000001405.40 of Homo sapiens. Taxonomy (NCBI): domain Eukaryota; kingdom Metazoa; phylum Chordata; class Mammalia; order Primates; family Hominidae; genus Homo; species Homo sapiens. Next base: position 65,453,748 of record NC_000009.12, read on the forward strand.
TGGGTGGATAGATGGATGATGAAAGAAAGAAAGGATGAATGGATGGGTGGATGGGAGAGTGAGTAAATAAATGAATGGGTGGATGAATGGGTAGATGGATGGATGGGTGGATGGATGAATGAATGAGTGAGAGGATGGGTGGGTGACGAAAGAAAGGAAGGAAGAAGGGGTGGACGGGTAGGTGGATGAATGTATGATAGGATGGAAGCTGGCTGGATGTGGGGGTGGATGAGTTGAATGGACAGATGGGTAAGAGGGTAAGTGGGTGGATGGTGAAGGAATTAATAATGTTATTATTATAAACATTATTATTATTATATGAATAAGTTTCTGGTTTAGAAGACTAGTATCCTTCTGACAGCTCTCTCAGAGGGTCAGGCTCTACAAATTTGCTTCCTGGGCTGCCCCTCTCTGGGTTGTTTCCCCATTTGCTCCATGAGTGTGAAGGAGTAGATTGGCCAGATTAGCTGCACCTGCTCCAGGGGCCCAGCCCAAGCCCGGGTGCCTGGGAGTCACACTCCAGGACACTCGACCCCTGCCCTCTGGGGCCAGGGTCAGCAGCCTCTGGCCAGACCCCTCCTCTTAAAAAAAAGCTCAGGTAGGGAGAGAACACTGCCCTGCTGGTGGTTGCCATGGAAAATCCTTCATTGCTTGTTTTTCTCCTCAACTGATTAAGAAAAGGGAGTCATAAAATGACAGGGCGTCACTGGGCCTTGCCGCTGGCCAGCTTTGACTTATCCCCTGACATTTCCCAGGAGCCAGCTAACCTTTTCTGTCACAAGTAGACTGAAGCGGGTCCCTTGAGGCAGTCTAGCCTGAACAGAGTCCATCTCAGGGGAGGCGAGGACCCAGGACACAGCAACAGGAGCCAGGTCATTTGAATAACCAGGAAGGAGAGCAGATGGTGCTGGGACCAGGAGCACAGCGAGGACCCTAAGGAAGCCACCAAAAAACAGCCTTCGCAACAGTCAGGACTGCTGTCAGGACCACCAGGCAGAGCCCAGGGAGCAAACACCTGCTCTCCCTCCCTGGGGTCCCTGCTGTGTTCCCAGGCATGACACTCACCTCCCAGAGCAGCAGCCTGGCCTCTGCTCCTCTCCGGGCAGAAACGACACAGGGATGCGCCCCAGTCAGTGTGCTGGGGTCCTAGGGGCGTTGGCGACGCCGGGGCAGGTTCCACCATAGATCCTGCTGCCTCAATCCAGAGGGCTTTCAGAAGGCGCCCCTGCTATGGCATCGCAGAGGGAGGAGACCCGGGATGTGGCTCAGCAGGGCTGTGTATACACCAAGATGCCTCCGTCTGCCCTTCCAGCTGTAAATCAAGACTCAGCCATGGAGAGGGAGGAGAAAGTCCACAGGTGCTGAGCCTCCTTCCCAGCCCTGGTCTCAGCCTCAGGATAGAAGACTTTAACCCCAGAAGGCCCTCAGGAGGCCAGGCAAGCCAACATCCTCGAACCTGTGCCACGATGGGGAGCGATGGGGCGAGGACAGAGCCTGGAGTCACAGACCAGGAAACTGGGTTGCCTCAGCTCACCCAGGGTCCCAAGGCCAGGACAGGGCAGAGCCGAGATCAAAGTCCCTGCGAGGCCGCCCTCATGAAGGGACTCAGGAGGGTTCACTGGGTGAATGGATGAGCCTGTACGGTGAATGAAGGCCGAGCCCACGGCTGGGAGCTGCCATCCCCGGCTTCCTCTGAATACAGACAGCCTGATGCGCAGGTCTCAGATCTGGGAGGGGGCCTGGGCCCCTTGACCCCATCTCTTCATTTACTGATGGGGAAACCGAGGGCCAGCCTGCCACAGTAATGCCGTGGGTGCCTGAGTCATCTCCTCCTCCTCCTCCTTCTCCTCCTCCTCCTCCTCTTCCTCCCCCTTCCTCGTCTCCCCCTTTCCTCCTTCTCTTCCTCTTCCTTCCTTCCTCCCACCCATCTCCCTCTCCTGAGCCCCAGCTCTGCTCTGCCACCAGGCCTTGTCCCTTTTAGGGTCCAAAAGATCAGGTCCTGCCCTGGGGCCAGTCAGCATGAAAAGGGATGACCATCTCTTCCTCCAGAGGACAGGGACTCTATGCCCCAGGCACTCCGAGGTCAAACCTGGCTCCCACTCAGACTATGAAGACAGCATCCACTGGGTCAGAGTCATGAAGCCACGGGTCCCAGGGGACAGCTCAGGTGGCCGCAGGGCCAGACTGGCAGGCTGCCCTCTGCCTCCTGTTAGCACAAACGCCCCTCCCCTCAGGCCTGAAGTCTGACATCAGCCAGTGGGCACCAGGCCCTGTCAGGAACAGGAGGAGGCCACAGCCATCCTCAGGAGAGAACAAAGGACACACAGGCCTCCAGGGAGAGCAGTGGGTGGCAGTGACAGGAGGGGCTACTCAGGATTCATGAGCGAGGGCCAGGCAACTTGGCCACCTTGGAGGAGCCGCTGCACCTATCCAAGCCCAGGTTTCCCTGCTGAAGACAGCACCAGTGTCTCCTCCTGGGGGTGTTGAGTGGGTCATCCCAGGCCAGAGAGGTCGAAGGGCTCTGTGAGCTATGAAGTGCTGGGCACCTGTGGGGCAGGGGCATACGTCCTGCGGTCAGGCTGCCCTGGAGGGTGGAACACCTACGCACTGTTCCAGCGGGAGGGGTATGGCGTCCAGTGAGGCCCAGCTCCCCGAGCCTTTCCTGATGGCACTGGAAGACAGGCAGCATCCCAGAAACATATAAAAGGCCCAGGGGCTGGTGCTGGGGGCACATGGCCGGGGCGACCCTGGGCTGGGCTGTGTACCCACGGAGCACTGCAGCAGACAGAGCAGGGGTGCGAGCTCCAGGGTCCCAGGATCCATCTCCTTCCCTGCAACAAACCCCTCTCTGCTGGAAATCCCTGGAGCGGTTCCTTCATCCTGCTCTGAACTTCCTTGACTGATCCCACAGACCGGTGCACTGCACAGCTGCCTGGAGACCAGAAGATTCCATACGTCTCCCTCCACCTGCCCAACATCCACAAGCCCAGGAGGCTGCCCTCCATAATTCTGGCTTTTCTGCGTATTTTTCAAAGCACAGGGCACTGGAAGAATGCCTGCATGAGACATTCTTGCAAGCCAGAGCCCGCTGGAGACATGCAGGAGAGCAAAACCTCCCTGCTGTGTCTGCAGATTTGCACACATTTCTGGGAAATAAACCTGCGGCCCCTCCTCTCCCCAGACGTTGGTTTATCCTCCACGGCAAAAGGATACCGTCTTTTCTGCGGCAAAGATGGGGGCGAGATGGCTAGCAGTCCCCTTAGAAGATCAAGGGTTTCCTCGGCTGACACAAACCTGCTCTGTTTGCCCCCTGAGATGTGGCGGACAAGGCAGATGGATAAAGTGACTGCGAGTTCCCGTGCGTCTCGGGTCACCAGTGTTTCTCCCTGGCTGTGCCCACACCTCACCTGGCCTCCCAGGCCCTGCCTCCCTGAGCTTCTCACAGCACGCTCCCTCGCCGTCTGTGTACCGCCTCTCGGGTCGCCTTCCACACCTTGAAGCAGCAGTGTGAATTCCTTCCGCGGACCCGGTGCGGGCTCCTGTGGCCCCGCTCAGCCCGTTCTCATCCTTCAGGGAGTCTCAGATTGTTTTTGTTTGTTGTTTCTTTTTTTTTCCTTCCAACTTCTATTTGAGATTCTAGGTATACACCTGCAGGTCTGTTACACGGGTAAACTGCATGTCACGGAGGCTTGGTGTACAGATTATTTCATCACCCAGGCACTGCGCATTGTACCGACAGGTGGTTTTTTTTTGTTTGTTTGTTTGTTTTTTCTGAGATGGAGTCTTGCTCTGTCACCCAGGCTGGAGTGCAGTGGCACGATCTCGGCTCACTGCAACCTCTGCCCCCTTGGTTCAAGCAATTCTCTGCCTCAGCCTCCCGAGTAGCTGGGATTACAGGCACCCTTCACCAAACCTGGCTAAATTTTTTTGTGTATTTGTAGTAAAGACGGGGTTTCACTATCTTGGCCAGGCTGGTCTTGAACTCCTGACCTCGTGTTCCACCTGCCTTGGCCTCCCAAAGTGCTGAGATGACAGACGTGAGCCACTGCACCCAGCCAACAGGTGGTTTTTCTATGCTGACGCTCCTCCCACCTCCGCCCTCAAGCGGGCCGGTGTCCATGTGTCCATCTGTACTCAATGTTTAGCTCCCACTTACAAGCGAGAACATGTAGTATTTGGTTTTCTGTTCCCATGTTCCATCACTTGGACAGGAGTCTCAATAAACACAGCCTCCTCAAGAGAGGCCTTCCCTGGCCACTTTCCCAAAACTAGTCACCCCTCTCCCACGTGTCACACGCCCCTCCCATCCACCTCACACCCCTCTCCCATGTGTCACACCCCCCTCCCACCCGCCTCACACCCCTCTCCCACCCGTGTCACACCCCCTCCCGTCCGCCCCACACCCCTCTCCCACCCGTGTCACGCCCCCTCCCCCAACTCACACCCGTCTCCCACGTGTCACACCCCCCTCCTGTCCGCCTCACACCCCTCTCCCACTTGTCACACCTCCTTCCATCCACCTCACACCCCTCTCCCACGTGTCACACCCCCCTCCTGTCAGCCTCACACCCCTCTCCCACCTGTGTCACACCCCCTCACCCCACCTCACACCCCTCTCCCACCCGTGTCACACCCCCTCCCGTCTGCCTCACACCCCTCTCCCACGTGTCACACCCCCTGCCCCCACCTCACACCAATCTCCCACCCGTGTCACACCCCCTCCCCCCACCTCACACCCCTCTCCCACGTGTCACACCCCTCTCCCGTCTGCCTCACACCCCTCTCCCACCTGTGTCACACCCCTCTCCCGCCCATGTCACACTCAACTCGCGCCCGCATCACACCCCTCTCGCGCCTGCGTAAAGCCCCTCTCCCACCCGCATCACACCTCTCTCCCACCCGCCTCACAGCCCTCTCCCGCCCCCCTCACACCTCTCTCCCATCCACATCACACCCCTCTCGCGCCTGCATCACGCCCCTCTCCCGCCTGCCTCACACCCCTCTCCAGCCCACATCACACCCCTCTCCAGCCCACATCACACCCCTCTCCAGCCCGCCTCACACCCCTCTCCCATCCGCCTCACACCCCTCTCCCGCCCGCCTCCCACCCCTCTCCCACCCGCGTCACACCCCTCTCCCTTCTGCCTCACACCCCTCTCCTGCCCACCTCATAGCCCTCTCCCACCCTCATAGCCCTTCTCACTCTGGTTTTCATGCCATCTTATTCCAGGTCCTCTGCAGAGGAGACACCAAGTGGGATTAAATGTGCAAGGAGACTTTTGAATGGAGGGATGCACCCACACCTGAGTGGCAGCAGAGAGGCCAGGAAGGCTGGTGAGCATGAGACCTTGACGAACACGGGGAGGCCAGGCGGAGGCCCCTGGGCCCTGGGAGGCTGCGGAAGGTCTGCAGGGCTATCTGGATGACCATCAGCAGGGTCCCAGCATCCCAGGCACGGGCCTGCTTTGGTGTCCCGGCCACACGGGGAACACCTGTGACGTGGGATCTCAGCCTGGCCCTCTGCAGCTGGAGGTGCATGAGCCAAGTCCTGTGAGCCATGGACAGATGCTCTCCACACTGGAATGTCCCCTGTCCCAAACATTGCCCAGCCCGGAACCCAGAGGTTCACCGGCATGCAGCAGACGCTTCACTGATGGCTGAGTGGGGTGTGTGCTAAGGGGCAAAAACAGCTGCAAGCCCCCCACCCCACATGCTGTGTGCACACCCCTTTACATCTTTCCATATAACTCAGAGACTCCATCGGGGAGTAGACCATCTTTCTCCACCCCTTGACAGGAGCCTGGCCTTGCGACCTGCAGTGCCACAGAGGCTGGAGAAGCAGGGCAGAGGGGATCACCCCCTACCAGGCCATGGTGGCAGGTAACTCGCAGTGGGGCTCACCAAGCGCAGGCACAGGAGAGAGGCCTCTCTTCCTCATACACTCACATGAAGCAGAAGTGCAGGGCATCCTGGCACTGTTCTTACAACTATGTTCTAATTTCCTCTCTTCTGTTCTCGCTCCGTGAGCCCCTCTGCAAGTGCCTCTGCCAGCATGGCCTGCTGGGGCACGATCCTCTCTGCCTGCTGTTCCCATGACCAGGATGATTCCTGGAGCTCCAGTTGGAGCATCCAGTCGGAGGTGGGCGGCAGACAGGGGGCAGCAGGGACAAGGCCACACATGGGCCTGGGAGGCCCCAGGCAGGGACCTGCTTTGCACAAAGCTTTGGGCACTGCTGTGCTTCTTAGGGCACCACCTCTGACTGCGTCCCGGGGCTGGCTCCCCCTTGCTTGCAGGAAGCCTGTGACTCCTGCACGTGAAGGTGCTGGGGCTCTGGAAGGTGACACCAGCCCGGTCATTCCCATCTCTCCAGCTGACATCAAGCCCAGCACCAAACAAGGGAGGGAGACCATCTAGAACTTCCAAGCCACCGGCTGACCAGAGAGACTGCCACCAGCTGAGACCAGGGAAGCTGTCACCTGATCCAACAAGCATCGGCTAAATAAGATAGCTGGTGTTTTAGGCCACCCAGGTGCAAGGAGTTTTATACAGCCAAAGCTAGGGAGCCCAGACTGCTCTTCCTCAGGTCCCTATGGGCACTGCAGGCCGAGGCTGAATGCAAGAGCCCGGTCCCCCCAGAGATGCAGACGCAGCATCCCCCACACCTCCAGGACAGGGTGTGGGCTCCAGGTTCTGCTGCTGTCTGCCTCCGTCAAGTACACACATGAGGAATTCCACAGGACAACACGGATATGCTTCCATTCATCACCCAGCTAGTTCCCCAAACTGGAAAAAGATGGTGCTGTGCGTTTTTATTTCCCTACTTCCCAAAAAAAGTGAAGGAGAAGGCCGAGCAAGGTGGCTCACGCCTGTAATTCCAGCACTTTGAAGGCAGAGGCAGAAGGATCACTTGAGGACAGGAGTTTGAGAACAGCCTGGGCAACATGGCGAAACCCCATCTCTATAAAAATCAAAAATTAGCCAGGCGTGGTGGCGTGCACCTGTAATCCCAGCTACTTGGGAGGCCGAGGGGGCGGATCGCTGGAGCCCAGGTGGTCGAAGCTGCAGTGAGCTGAGATGATGCCACTGCATTCCAGCCTGGGCAACAGAGTGAGACCCAGAAGCAAAGAAGAATCATCCTGGTCATGGGAACAGCAGGCAGAGGATCCCCAGGCCATGCTAGCGGGGGACTTGCAGAGGGGCTCACGGAGCACGCACACAAGAGAGGCAATCAGAACACAGTTGCGAGAACAGCACCAGGGTGCCCTGCACTCCAGCTTCCTCCCTCACCCCCACGGCTGTGGGGCAGACACAGACACAGAGACACACACATCTCCAGCATTGCTAAAACATAACTCATTGTTAACACGGACACGATAATGATGCCTAGTGCGCAGCAAATACTCAAGATGTCCCAATTCTCCAAAATTGTCCTTTCCAGCCACATATACGTATATAGGATCCAAAAGTCCCAGATAAACACACATTGCAGGCATTGACAGGGCTCTCCGGTGCCTCTTACACCAGATGAGCTCTTTTCCTTTAGTGACACCACTGGCTTCCAGGGTCTGGCCAGCTGTCCAGCAGGATGCAGCATAACCCGGACTGGCCCAGCATGAAATTCGGGTGTGGTGTTTTGTGCAGCAACACTCACAGGAGACGCTGTCCTCCGCCTGTCACAGCAGGGGACATGTCAGCTGTCCCTCCCAGGTGATGCTACATCCAGTCATGGGGGAAGGACTGTCGCCAGCTGCTCCTGCGTAAGCCCCCCTCCCCTTTGTAACTGGTGGTCCTAGGAGCGTGAATATCCTGTTCCCCAACAGCCCTTAACTCAATGGCTTTGGCACCCGAGTTAGTTGCCTGTGGCTGCTGTAACAGATTACCACAAACAACACAGGTGTGTTCTCTCCCTAGACCAGAAGTCTAAAATGGGTCACACCGGGCCGAGATTGGTGTCGGCAGGGCTGCATTCCTTCTACCTGTGTTCCTGGGTACATGTGTGGCCCTTTCCTCCGTTTCCAAACCCCATCCCTCCAAGCTCCGCGTCCATCACTGCATCCCCTCCTCAGGCTCTGACCCTCCTGCCTCCCTCTTAAAAGGACCCTGAAGATCACCAGGGCCCACCTGGATAATCCAGGGTGGCCTCCCCATCTCCAGGTCCCTCACTTAGCCACATTTGCAAAGCCCCTCTTGCCATACAAGGGGACCTGTGATTACAGGTTCTGGGGCTTAGGACAGGCACCTGCCTTGGGGATGCTATTCAGCCGACTTCAACATCCGCTGCTGATCTTCACCTGAATGTGTTCATTCCAGGGGGAGTGCACAAATGGGGACTTTCAAACCCATCGCCTCTCCCACGTTGGCTGGATTGTTCTAAGAGGAAGTGCTCCCTCCTTCTAGGGCTGCCATGGACTATACTGTTCATCCAGTGCTCTTCATCCTATGTCTCAAATTTGGCCACCAGAGCCCCTTCCACCTGGCCTTTTTGGCCTGTTGAGGCATCCCCGTCTGTCCTCAAGTGCGTCCGCCCTCCTGGCGCGACGCGATCCATACTCTGGCTCATCCTGTGCCCACCTCCACCCAGATCTGGACTTAGGCCCCATCGTGCCGCACAGCTTTGGAAACCACCCATGTGCCTGTGTGCTTGGGTAGCACCAATGTTAGCTCCTTTCAGTGGTTAGAGACAGAAAATGGATTTTTTTGAATTATGAGTTATTGCTGCCGCTTCCGGTCCAAGCACAAACCCCCAGGAACCCTCTTTGTCTCCCGTTCCACATCCCTATCTCCCACCTCCCAGCGAGAGAAAGAGTCCTGGTTCCGAGGAGGACCACCAAGCTGCTGGGGGTGACCAGCCCTTAATCCACAGACAGTGGTTTCAGACGACCACAGCAGCGCTGCTGCTGCGACAAAACCGGCCTGCGACGCGGAGCTGTGGGTCCCCACAGCCAGAGGCCCCTTCGAAAGCCGCTTCCATTCTTGTTTCCATCTGGTGTTGCTGTCAATTGTTTAAGGTTCGTTGATTTCTGTTTGAATTCAATGTTCAATTTTTTGTGTTTGTCAATTTAATTCTATTTCTGAACGTGTAAACATTTACGTGTTTCAAAAGTCAACACATATGTAAAGGATTCTCTGACTTCTCACTCCACCCACTCCTCCCACCTGGTGGTTATTTATGTGTGTGTGTAGTTTCTGTATGTAGTTTACATGTGTGTGTAGCTCGTGTGTATGGTTTATATTGTGTGTACAGTTTGTGTGTGTGGTTTATGTGCATGTGTACACTTTGCATATGTAGTTTATATGTGTGTAGTCTGTGTGTTTAGTTTATGTGTGTATAGTTTGCATGTGTAGTTTATATGTGTGTAGTTTATGTGTGTATACTTTGTGTGTGTGGTTTATATGTGTGTGTGTAGTTTGTGTGTGTATGATTTATATGAATGGGTAGTTTGTGTGTGAAGTTTATGTGTGTGTAGTTTGTGTGTGTGGTTTATATGGGTGTGTATAGTTTGCATAGTTTGTATGTGTGTGTATAGTTTCTGTGTGCAGTTTATGTGTGTGTAGTTTGTGTGTGTGGTTTATATGTGTGTGTAGTTTGTGTGTGTATCGTTTATATGAATGTGTAGTTTCTGAAGTTTATGTGTGTGTAGTTTGTGTGTGTGGTTTATATGTGTGTGTAGAGTTTGTGTGTGTAGTTTGTGTGTGGTTTATATGTGTGTGTAGAGTTTGTGTGTGTAGTTTGTGTGTGATTTATGTGTGTGTAGTTTATGTATGTGTAGATTGTGTGTGTGGTTTATATGTGTGTGTATAGTTTCTGTGTGTAGTTTATGTATGTGTAGTTTGTGTGTGTGGTTTATATGTGTATCATTTCTGTGTGTAGTTTACATGTGTGTACTTTGTATGTGGGGTTTATACGTGTGTGTACAGTTTGCATGTGTAGTTTATGTGTGTGTACTTTGTGTGTGTGATTTATATGTGTGTGTATAGTTTGTGTGTGCGGTTTACATGTGTGTACTTTGTGTGTGTGGTTTGTGTGTGTGGTTTATATGTGTGTATAGTTTGTGTGTGTAGTTTATGAAAGTGTACTTTGTGTGTGTGGTTTACATGTGCGTGTAGTTTGTGTGTGTAGTTTATGTGTTTGTGTATAGTTTGTGTATGTGGTTTATATGTGTGTGTGGTTCGTGTGTACTTTATGTGTGTGTACTTTGTGTGTGTGGTTTATTTGTGTGTGTATAGTTTGTGTGTGCAGTTTACATGTGTATACTTTGTGTGTGATTTATATGTGTGTATAGTTTGTGTGTGCAGTTTACATGTGTGTACTTTGTGTGTGTGGTTTATATGTGTGTATAATTTGTGTGTGTAGTTTATGAATGTGTACTTTGAGTGTGTGATTTATATGTGCATGTAGTTTGTGTGTGTAGTTTATGTGTTTGTGTATAGTTTGTGTATGTGGTTTGTATGTGTGTGTGGTTTGTGTGTAGTTTATGTGTGTGCACTTTGTGTGTGTATAGTTTGTGCAGTTTACAAGTGTGTACTTAGCGTGTGTGGTTTATATGTGTATGTAGTTTGTGTGTGTAGTTTATGTGTTTGTGTATAGTTTGTGTATGTGGTTTATATGTGTGTGTGTAGTTTGTGTATAGTTTATGTGTGTGTACTTTGTGTGTGTGGTTTATATGTATGTGTATGGTTTGTGTGTGTACTTTGTGTGTGTGGTTTATATGTATGTGTATGGTTTGTGTGTGTACTTTGTGTGTGTGGTTTATATGTGTGTGTGGTTTGTGTGTATAGTTGGGGTGTACTTTGTGTGTGTTTTTATATGTGTGAACAGTTTGTGTGTATAGTTTGTGTGTGTGGTTTGTGTGGTTTATGTGTGTGTGTGGTTTATGTGTGTAGTTTGTGTGTGAATAGTTTGTGTATCATTTATATGTATGTGTAGTTGCATGTATGATTTGTGTGTATAGGTTGTGTGTGTAGTTCATGTGTGTGTAATTTACATATGCATGTGTAGTGTGTCTGCCTGTGTGATTTCTGTGTGTACTTTATATATGCCTGTGTAGTGAAGGAATGTGTGATTTTTGTGTGTATAGTTGACGTGTGTGGTGTGTGTGCATGTATATGATTTGTGTGTGTGTGGTTTACATGTGCGTGTATGGTGTGTGCCGTGATTTGTGTGTGTGTGGATTATGTGTGTGTATGATGTGTGTGATATGTGTGTGTGTGGTTTATGTGTGTATGTGGTGTGTGTGATTTGTGTGTGTGGTCTCCATGTGCATGTGTGGTGTGTCTGATGTGTGTGGTTTGTGTGTGCGATTTAAGTGTGTGTGTAGTGTGTGTGATTTGTATGTGGTTTACATGTGCGTGTATGGTGCATGTGGTGTGTGATTGTGTGTGGTTTACATGTGCATGTGTGGTGTATCTGATGTGTGTGATTTGTGTGTGTGGTTTACTTGTGTGTGGTGTGTGATTGTGTGTGTGGTTTACATGTGCATGTGTGGTGTGTCTGATGTGTGTGATTTGTGTGTGTGGCTTACGTGTGTGTGTGATTTGTGTGTGTGGTTTGCATGTGCATGTGTGGTGTGTGTGTGTGTCCCCTTACACCCCCTTCTCACCCACCTGCAGACGCCCTCGGCGCTGCACCTGCCACAATGAGCAGCCTGTCTGTACTCCCGTGCTCTGACTCCCTGAGTTCTCCCCAGTCCCCCCAGGTCCCCTAGGCTCCCCAGGCTCCCCACGGCCACATGATGCCCCACGCTGTGGCTGTTCCCATTTGCACAGCCCTGCCTGGTGAATGAGCACTCAGGTCATTCCCAGTGTCTCGCTGTGACAAATGAGGTTGTGCTGCATCCCTCAAGCATGCACTGTTCCCTATTTGCAGAGGTGTCACCTCGGGGGAAATTCCTAGAAATGGAATCGCTGGGTCAAGGAGCAAAGCCAGTGTAATTTTGTTAGCTACTGCCACCTTCCGCTCCCTCGGGTGAAGGACAGTTTCCCTCCTAGTGTCTGAGGGAGCCAGTTTCCCACGGCCTCCTCCACTGCAGTCGCGCTTTTGAATCGCTGCCAGTCTGATATGTGAGAAACTGCATCTCTGCATAGCTTGTATTTGCATTTCTTTACTACGAGCCTCTTTCCCTATATTTCAGAGCCATTTGTTATCTTGTTCTACACACTCTGTCCATGGATTTTTACCTACTTCTCTGTAGAGTTTCTGGGGTTTTCCCATTGGCTTGAGTGAGCCACGCACACAGGGAGCCAGAGGCAAAGGGGACGTGAGACCTGCCCACGGGAGGATCAAGGAGGCGACTGCCCCACAGATGGCCTGGGGAAGCCCACCCAGCTGGGAGACAGTGGGCACGTCACCTTGGCTCTGGAAGCAGTGGGAAAAGCAGAAAAAGGTCACCCCAGGAAATTCCAGTCACAAGCCCACCTCAGGGGCAGTGTGGCCAGAACTCATGCTCACTGGATGACTGGAAAAACCCCAGGCCAAAAATTTAGTTTGAGGGAGTCCTGGCAACCCAAGCTTCTGGGAGAAGCAAAGGCAAAACCTTTCCAGAGAAAGGCGTTGGAAACTTGGACCTCAGAGAATCCTCGCAGACGGGGGTCCGGGGAACGCAGCCTTGCCACCTTACAAGTTACCCACACGCAGGAGAAAATCTGCCCTCCCCAGGACAGGAGCCCCCCGCAACGGCGTCTGGGAAACGTCAGGTCCACTCTGCCAGCCACAAGGCCCCTGGAAGCAGCGTGGCCTGGGTGCAAAGCAGCCGACACCTCACCCGCGCCCCTGGGCCTCCTGAGGAAAGAAAGCCCCAGGTCCCCAGAGTGCCTGTGCGGCCCCTCATCTTCCTGCATGACAGCCCCTTTGGCTGTGACCTGGGGGAGAGAAATTGAATCCCATCATTTGGGACTTTCACTTAAAACTCAAAGTTCTGAGCTTTGGCTTTTAAATGGTGAGGGCAAGAAAATGCATTTTCACTTTAAAGTCTAGCAACTGTAATTGGCAAGGGCGTTTGACCTACAGACTTATTCGATCAAGTAATACAGGAATGGAAGAGCCCCCCACGTTTGGGCCACTGTGTGTCACAGTCTTGCTGTCGCCACGGCAGTGCTGCAATGTCGTGTGACTGTGCAGTGGACACCGCTTGGGGCCGCCATGTGTCACAGTCTTGCCGTCGCCACGGCAGAGCTGCAATGTTGTGTGACTGTGCAGTGGACACCGCTTGGGGCCGCCATGTGTCACAGTCTTGCCGTCGCCACGGCAGTGCTGCAATGTCGCGTGACTGTGCAGTGGACACCGCTTGGGGCCGCCATGTGTCACAGTCTTGCCGTCGCCACGGCAGAGCTGCAATGTCGCGTGACTGTGCAGTGGACACCGCTTGGGGCCGCCATGTGTCAGAGTCTTGCCGTCGCCACGGCAGTGCTGCAATGTCGCGTGACTGTGCAGTGGACACGGCTTGGGGCCGCCATGTGTCACAGTCTTGCCGTCACCACGGCAGTGCTGCAATGTCGTGTGACTGTGCAGTGGACACCTCTTGGGGCTGCCATGTGTCACAGTCTTGCCATTGCCACGGCAGTGCTGCAATGTCACGTGACTGTGCAGTGGACACCGCGTGGGGCCGCCATGTGTCACAGTCTTGCCACAGCAGTGCTGCAATGTCGCGTGACTGTGCAGTGGACACCGCTTGGGGCCGCCATGTGTCACAGTCTTGCCACGGCAGTGCTGCAATGTCGTGTGACTGTGCAGTGGACACCGCGTGGGGCCGCCGTGTGTCACAGTCTTGCCGTCACCACGGCGGAGCTGCAATGTCACGTGACCATGCAGCTGGACACCGCATGACTGTGCAGCTGGATACCACGTGGACGGCGGGTGGGAGGCATGAGTTCCAGCTTTGGCACAAAGGAGCTTTGCGTCAGTTTCATTAATCCTGGTGTAACCGCCCAGTGTGTTCACCTCGCCGGCTGCCTAGACACAGCCGATTTATCAAGACAGGGGAATTGCAAGGGAGGAGTAACTCATGCAGAGCCAGCTGTGGGGAGACCAGAGTTTTATTATTACTCAAAAGGGTCTCCCCGAGCATTTGGGGGTCAGAGTTTTTAAAGATAATTTAGCAGGTAGGGGCTCAGGAAGTGGGGAATGCTGGTTGGTCCGTTTGGAGATGGACTCATAGGGGGTCAAAGTGAGTTTTTCTTGCTGTCTTCTGTTCCTGGGTGGGATGGCGGAACTGGTTGAGCCAGATGACTGGTCTAGGTGGTGTCAGCTGATCCATGAGTGCGGGGTCTGCAGAATATCCCCAGCACTGATCTCAGGTTTTACAATAGTGAGGTGATCCCCAGAAGCAATTTGGGGAGGTTCAGACTCTCACAGCCGGAGGCCACAAGACCCCTAAACCATAATTTCTAATCTTGCAGCTAATTTGTTAGTCCTACAAAGGCCGAATGGTCCTCAGGCAAGAAGGGGGTCTATTCGGGAAAGGGCTGTTACCAATTTTGTTTCAGAGTCAAACCATGAACTGAATTCCTTCCCAAAGTTAGTTCGGCCTACGCCCAGGATTGAATAAGGACAGCTTAAATTAGGTTAGAAGGAATATGGAGTCGGTTAGGTCTGATTTCTTTCACTGTCATCATTTCCTCAGTTATAATTTTTGCAAAGGCAGTTTCATGGGGGGTAAACCCAAACGGCCCCCTGCAGTCCTGGGAGTGGCTTCATGAAGGGGACCCCGACAGCTCTCCTCTCCCTAGGGGCGGCCCCCCAGCTCACCACAAGTGTGACCACGAGGCCCTTGGGTAGGGCAACAAAAGGCCGGGGAAGGTGGGGGTGTCCTCCCCAACTCCCGAGCCTCCTTCCACGTGGAGAAAACTGACTTCTCCGACCCCTGCCTCTCTCCCACCATTTGTCACCCACCCCCACGCAGGGAGGGGTTGGCAAATCCAGGCGGGTTCTGCAGGGCAGGCTGAGCTCACTCTCCGCTGCCACCTGCAGGGGTGGCCTGCTCTGCTGAACAGGTGGGGGCTCCCTGGAGGCTGGCCTGGGCTGCGCCTTTGGGCAGGTGGCCCCTCCACTCTGGGGTTCAGGGAAGGCCCCCTTGGCCTTCACTCTGAGCCACGTCCTCCCACCAGCCTCCATTGGGAATAACGGGCAGCCTGGCATCACAGCATCTGTGGGCCCCTCCTCTGGGCTAAAGTATTACAAATGATGTTTCATAACTGCGTTGGTAGAAAGATGACTATAGCCCAGGCTGCACTGTGTTTATTCTGATTTTAGAAGGCATTAAACCACTTTCCTGACCCCTAAAAGTCTCTTGGGCCCTGGCACTAAGCCTGCTACACCCTGTGAAAGGAAAATCAATCTCAGGCCCCAAAATTACCAAGCCAAGGGAAGAGTCAAGCTGAGTACTGCTCAGGCAAACCTGCCTCCCAGTCCACTCCTGAATAAGATGGCTACAGAGACTAAAAAGCCACTACCTCCCTCAAAATTTGCCCACAAGGAAATTCCTCATAGACAGATGACAGACAGGACCCAACGCCATCCCTGTGCTCCCCGGAGACAAATCCATATCTGATGGCTTCCTCTGCCCTATTATTGATATAAAAATACAGATTCCCTGAGCCAGACTAAATTGTGTTTCAATGGGAGGCCAATCAAGGTCTCAAAAGAATGCAACAGTTTGTCTCTTACCTACTTAGGAACTGGAAGTCCCCCACCCCCGCAAGTTGTCAAGCTGCCCCGCCTTACCTGACCAAGCAAACGTACATCTTACGCATATTGATTGATGTCTCATGTCCCCCTAAAATGTATAAAAGAAAGCATGGTGGCTCACGCCTGTAATCCCAGCACTTTGGGAGACTGAAGCGGGTGGATGACGAGGTCAGGAGCTCGAGACCTGCCTGGCCAAGATGGTGAAAACCCGTCTCTACTAAAAATACAAAAACTTTGCCATGCATGGTACCATGCGCCTATAATCCCAGCTACTGGGGAGGCTGGGGCAGAGAATTGCTTGAACCCGGGAGACGGAGGTTGCAGTGAGCCGAGATCACACCACTGCACTCCAGCCTGAGCAACAGAGTGAGATTCTATCTCAATAAAATAAAATAAAATAAAATAAAAATAAAAGCAAACTGTACCCTGACCACCTTGGGCACATGTTGTCAAGACCTCCTGAGGCTGTGTCACAGGCCCTTACTTCACCTTGGCAAAATAAGTGTTTTAAATTTATTGAGACCTGTCTCAGATACCTTTTGGTTTACAACCTGATGGAGGGGTTGGCACTGATAGAAGGGTTTTGGGTTTCCAGCACCTGCCTTCATGCCTTACTTCTCGGTGGGCTCAGGACTCAGAATGGAAGAGTCCCAGGAGACCCCAGTAACTCTTCAACTCTTTTACTCTCGCTGTTTTCTCTCCTTTACAGCAGACACCACTATCTGCAAAGGGTCCTGTTCACTGCTCCTGCCTGCCAGGAAGCACAGCCTAGAGGGCAGTGTCCATGACTGTCCTGAGTAACCACTGGGTCCCCAGCATCTCAGCTTCACAGCTGTTCCATAATGACCTTCAGACGGAGGGACGAGGCAGGTGGGTGGGTGGATGGATGGATGGATGCATGGATGGGTGGATGGGTGGATAGGTGAGTGGGTGGGTGGATGGATGAGTGGGTGCATGGGCAGGTATGTGGATAGATGGAAGTATGGGTAGATGGATGGGTGGATGGATGGGTCAATAGGTGGATGGGTGGGTGGGTGAATGGGTGGATGGATGGATGGATGGATGAGTAGATGGATGCATGAATGGATGGATGGATGGTGGATGGATGGGTGAGTAGGTGGATTGAGAGATGGGGAATGGATGGATAGATGAACAAATAAGTGATGGATGTGTGGGTGTATGTATGGATGGGTGGGTGGATGGGTGGGTGGGTAGATGGATGGATGTGTAGATGGGTGGATGGATAAGTGGATGGATGGGTGAATGGGTGGATAAGTAGATGAATGGGTGGGTGGAGAAATACATGAGTGTGTGGATGAATAGGTTACAGAGTAAAATGCCACCACCAGAGCAGAGCAACAGCGTGCTTTGCACTCAGCTCTGCCATGGAAAAAGTGGTTCCTTCCCAGGCTCTCACCAGGCTCACATGGGCTCCAGACCCCTGCACTCCCAACCAGACTGGGGACACAGGGACTGTCTGCTCAGCTCTGCATCCATGCACCTGGTCAACACCAAGTGGGTCACAGGGTACCAGGTGGCCTGAGAGAAGGACCGATGACAGATGGCCTCACCCATCTTGCTAGGAGGCTTGGGTCC
The DNA here is from genome assembly GCF_000001405.40 of Homo sapiens. NCBI lineage: Eukaryota > Metazoa > Chordata > Mammalia > Primates > Hominidae > Homo > Homo sapiens. The sequence goes on from NC_000009.12 coordinate 65,471,027, forward strand.
CAGTCCTGTGGCCCCACCAGCCAAGAGCTTGTGGACATTCAGAATCAGGCTTGCTGGTTTAAGCCCGGGCATACAGCACCAACACTGTCTGCCCATGGGCTCTCTGGGTCGGGCCCTGCCTGACTCAGTCCCTGCATCACCAGTGCCAGGCCAGGCACAGACAGGCTCAGTGGGGTGGGCTAAGTAGTGCTGGGGACCCAAACCAGGCATCAGAGGGATTGAGATGCCCCCAGGCTGACTCCCACTCAAACGGGTTCCCCCGCCTACCCCCGAGCCCATCGCCTCTGTCCACCTGCTGCCACTCTGACAGCTACAACCCACCCAGGCTTGGGGCTGCCTGGACTCTGCCTATAACTTCACAGGCTCACTCCCATGCTGTCCTTCACACCTGGAGGAGTGCCAACGTTACCAGTGCCACAGAACAAACAGCCGCATGCACTCTGCACCCTGCTCAGCCATTGAGACAGCAGATTCTGTAGCTTTGGGCAGTTCCCACATCCTTCCAGTCCTGATCTTTCCCCTGGAAGCCAAGGAGCATTCAGTGCCTTCTCTACGTGCTCTTGGCCCCTGTCCACAACAAAGGCCACAGGTCCCTTGTTGTGGAACTATGAGTGAACCCAGCGTTCTCCCCAGGGACCCCAGCACAAAATGAGCTCTCAACACACATGAGTGAATAAAATTGTCCCAGAAAGCGGGAGACTTTACACAGTGGCTACAATGTCCCTAGTACACTGCCACAGTCCAGAAGGGAGAGAAGGGGCTGTGCACACCAGGAAGCCAGAAGCCCACATGCACCTGCCCAGGGTCTGTGCATGGAGCTCCGGCAGGTCCAATCTCTTGGCCTTCAGAATAATGATGTAAATACAGGGACAAAGATGGAGCAGGTGTCACTCAATGTGCAAACCCTCCCCCTTCTTCTGGTGAGGCCAGAAGTACCCAGGTAGGAGCAGCCCCTACCTCCGACCACCTCCCTCCCTGCAGTGGGAATAGCAGCCCAATCCCCAGGCTGCAGGGATCCACAGGCCGTGCAAGTGTGGCTCTACCCCAAGCATGTCCTGGTGCGAAGCTGTGCCCAGGGAGATGTTATCTGCACCCCAGACTGCCTGTGGTGCTGCAGAGTGGTGCCGAGGAGAGAGCAGGGCACACCTGGAGTCTATATCACCTGCCTTCCCTAGGGAGTCTGGGGCCCTCTCCACATTCAAGGCGAGGGGAGCAGAGGATCTCCACAAAGACCCCTTGAGCACCTCCCTTCTCTTTTTGCTGATAGATAACCCAAGGCTTAAGGGGTTTTGGAACCAAGACATGGTCACTGACGTTAGAGGAATGGCTCGCTCCCCCTCCTGCATCCGTACCTGGTAAGGGGGGGCAATTGACCCTTTCCAAAGCACCCTGGTTGCTGTAGGAAGAAGAATGGAGACAGTGGGCTGAGCCCACTGGCCTCCTTCAGCGCTCGGGCTCACCCCTGCAGACAGCCTTCCTCAGCAGCCGCACAGCTCAGGGCTTCTCCTCCCTGGGTGCCAGTAAGCCCAGGTAAGCTTCTGGCTGCCCAGCAATTCCAATACCCAGAGGGAGGAGCCAACAGGGCAGGCCACGTTCTCACCAAGCCATCTGCAGAGGGGTCAGTTCCACCCTGAGTTCTCCCTTCTCAGTAACAAGCTGCTGCTGTGTTTTCCATTGTCCCACAGCTGATTTGTCAGTTGGTGCAATCACAGCGAGGACAAACACTAATGCCCCTCCTGAGACCTCTCTTCTGGCTGATGGTGTGGACCTTGACTCCACAGCAGGTGTCGGCAGGCCCTCCAGCTGGCCCTCGGTAGCCTGGAGTGGCTCGTCCTGGACAGACTCACCGCTATGACGCAGGGGGAACTGCCAGGAGTCCCTGAGCGAGGTGATCTGAGAAATGCCATGGCAGTGTTCTAAGCCAGCAGCCTGGCTTACCCACAACCTCTCTGCTGTGTGACCTTGAGCAAGTGCCTTAACCTCTCTGAGCCTCAGCTTGCCCCTCTGTTAAAGAATGATCATATATGACACCTAGCAAGGTTATGTGGAGTATCAGCAACAAGGAATCCACTGCAGCCAGTGTTGCAGGTGCAACTGGCTGGGGCTGGTGTCACAGGTGGTAAAAGAATTTACCAAGACAGTCATGGGTAAAGAAAGTCTGAAGACACCTTGCAAGAGAACAGCAGGCAGCATGGCAGAGAGAAGGCCACCTCCCCAGGGGCAGAGGCCAGGGTGAAGTTTGATAGGGTCACACTGGAGAGGCGACATGCAGACAGGGTCATGCTGGAGAGGCCACATGCAAACAGAGTCACGCTGGAGAGGCCACATGCAGACAGGGTCACACTGGAGAGGCAACAGGCAGACAGGGTCACGCTGGAGAGGCCATATGCAGACAGGGTCATGCTGGAGAGGCCCCATGCAGACAGGGTCACGCTGGAGAGGCCCCATGCAGACAGGGTCACGCTGGAGAGGCCCCATGCAGACAGGGTCACGCAGGAGAGGCCCCATGCAGACAGGGTCATGCTGCTGGAGCTAACCTGCAGAGCGAGGTATTTGGTAACAGGAGGTTGTGCAAGCAGGCTGCTTGTGGTTAGCCATTTCTTAGAACAACGGCTCTCCCCCACCCTAGTTCATGTTCTTGCCAGCTAGGGCATGTGGTGCCATGGAGTTGTGCAGAGGAGGGAACTCCTTCCTCATTTCTATCAGCTGATCGGGACTCCACAGTTTGGTTTCGCTGCATATGACAATCCCAGCAAAAGAAGCATAAACAAGAAAGAAGCAGATTTCTTTCTGAAGGGAGAATCTGGGGATGACTGACTGAGGGTGAGGTGGCAGCTCCTCGATGTCCTCAGGGACCCAGATCCTGGCTGTCCTGCTCCTCATCCTCCATGCATGGTGTCTAGCCTCAAAGCCACTCCATGGTCCAAGGTGGCTGCTGGTGCTCCAGCCATCAAGACCACAGGACAGGTGGAAGAAAGCTGGAAAAGTACATGGCAGAAAAGGGCCCCTCCCGGAAGTCCCAGCTGAGTCAGCTTGTTTTTTAGCCATCTTCCTGGAAGTCTCCTACAGCACTTCTGCCTTTAACCCACTGGCCACGACTTAGCAGCTCGGCTCCACTTAGCGTCAGGGAGGAAGCTGGGAGATGCAGGTTTTCATTCCGGCCAGCTACATGCCCCGCCACGCATCAGGGTTCTGCTTCCGTGGAGGAAGGGAAGAGGACCATGTCTGTACAAGAGGAGCTAGACCCACGATAAACATGAGCCACGCTAATGTTGTCAGCATCCCCAGAACAGCCGGCAACACAGCCTTGCACCGCAGACTAGAGAGGGAGGCAGGGTGCAAAAGGGACAGAAAGGGAGAGAACCGGAGGCCAGGCTGACCCGAGCAGCCAGGGACAGAGGACAGACCCGGGAGGCAGATGGGAGTTCAGGGCAAGGAAAGTCTTGGGGGCTGCCTGGGGTGGGGGGAGGGAAATGTGGGGGGCAGAGGTAGGGGTGAGCTGCACCTGGGAGGGAACATGCACCCTCTTCCTAAGGAGACCCTGAGAGGCTTAGGGGAGACGGTAGCATGCAACAGCACCTGCTGCTCCCCTCTGCAGGAGGCCGACTCCACGGAGGACCATGCTCTGGCAGAGGAACCCAAATACGCATTTCTCCCACACCCCAGCCTCTCCTGGCCCCAAGGCAGGTACAGGCTCAGAGCTGGGGAACTGGCTGGAGACTTTCCTCTTTTTGCTGACTCTGCCCTGGCATATTCTGAGGTACAGGGGTCAAGACTTCAACACATGAATTTGGGAGTCACAGTTCAACCCAGCATGCTATACAGGTCTCAAGGGTGTCACTCAGGGAGTTGACAAAGGCAGACTCCACCAAGATAAGAACCTGACCACCTCCAAGATATGTGCTCATCTGTCCCCACTGCACCCCCTCCAGAGGCAACTTTTCATTGCAGATCAGCGTGACCTGTTCTAGAGCTTCCTACAGGCAGAGTCAGGCCACACTGGCCCGCCCCAGCTCTCAGAGGCCTGCCATCACTGTGCACCCACACACCACCAGCTGTAACCCAGGCACAGGACCTCAAGGTGGGCCAGCTCAGCTGCCAACAGGAGCGAGTGGTGCTGAGGTATCCAGCAGGGCAGCACATGGTCCTCCCAGGAGCCGTGGCCCAGCACCTCCTGGCCGGAACAGCCATCCTATTCAAATAAACGAGTAACAAAAATGGGCACACTCTCCACTTCCAAAAGCAATGCTGGCCAGGCGCAGTGGCTCACACCTGAAATCCCAATGCCAGAGGCGTTGGAACCAGAGCAACTCCATCTTGAACAGGAGCTGGGTAAAATGAGGCTGAGACCTGCCGGGCTGCATTCCCAGGAGTTTAGGCATTCTAAGTCACAGGATGAGATAGGAGGTCGGCACAAGATACAGGTCATGAAGACCTTGCTGATAAAGCAGGTTGTAGTAAAGAAGCCGGCCAAAGCCCACCAAAACCAAGGCGGCCATGAGAGTGACCTCTGATTGTCCTCACGGCTCATTATATGCCAATTAGAATGCATTTGCTGCTAAAAGACACCCCCACCAGCACCATGACAGTTTACAGATGCCATGGCAATGTCTGGAGGTTACCTTATAAGGTCTCAAAAGGGAGGGGAGGAGACCTCAGTTCCTCTTCATCCCTTTACTTTCCTGATAAACTTGCTCTCACTTTACTCTGTGAACTCGCTCCAAATTCTTTCTCGCATGAGATCAAAGAGACCTCTCTTGGGGTCTGGATCAGAGCCCCCCCTTTTCCAGTAACACCAGCACTTTGTGGGAAAGACAGAGGCGGGAGGATTGAATGAGGCCAGGAGTTCAAGATCAGCCTGGCCAACATAAGGAGACCTAAGTGCCTAACTTAAAAAAAAAAAAAAGGCCAGGCATGGTGGCTTATGCCTATAGTCCCAATACTTTGGGAGACCGAGGTGGGCAGATCACTTGAGCCCAGCAGTTCGAGACCAGCCTGGACAACATTATGAAACCTTGTCTCTACAAAAAAAAAAAAAAAACGAAGAAATTCCCAGGCACAATAGTGTGCACCTGTAGTCCCAGCTATTCAGAAGGCTGAGATGGGAGAATCGTTTGAGCCCAGGAGGTAGAAATTGCAGTGAGCTGAGATTGCGCCACTGCACTCCAGCCTGGGTGACAGAGGGAGACCCTCTCTCAAAAAAATAAAAAAAGAAACCCAGGCAGGCATGGTGGCACGCACCTGTAGTCCCCAGCTGCTCCGGAGGCAGAGCAGAATTGCTCGAGTGCAGGCTGTAGGTCAAGGCTCTAGTGAGTTACGATTGTGCAACCGCACTCCAGCCTGGGTCACAGAGAAAGCTGCAGTCTTAAAAAATAAAAATAAAAAATAAAAGCAGTGCTATTTTCCTACAAATGAAGAAATCTCATCAGACAAATACTGCCACAAACCAGATGAAAATCATGATCTAATATTCCAACAAGAACTTCAGCTCCGAAGGGATACTACAGCACAGAATAAGAACAGAGGAGAATAAGCACAGAATAAGAACACAGGGAAGAGGTGGCCAAACGGCAGCGGAGTCTGTGGTGGGAAATGACAGAATTCAGGAAGGAAACTGAAGAAAAAGAGAAAACCATTTCGGAAATGAAGAAATGAAGTTACAGGTAATACGAGAGCACAGACACCACGGAAATCACATAAAAAAAGGAAAAAGTGAGCAAATAGAAAGAAAGAGGAAAGAGATTAAAAAGGATTAGAGAGAAAGTGACTATAAAAGACCAGTAAAGGGCCGGGCGCGGTTGCTCCCGCCTGTAATCCCAGCTCTTTGGGAGGCAAGACAGTTGGATCACAAGGTCAGGAGTTCAAGACCAGCCTTGCCAAGATGGTGAAACCCTGTCTCTACTAAAAATACAAAAATTAGCCGGGCATGGTGATGTGTGCCTGTAATCCCAGCTACTCGGTAGGCTGAGGCAGGACTATCCCTTGAACCCAGGAGGCAGAGGTTGCAGTGAGCTGAGATTGTGCCATTACACTCCAGCCTGGCAACAGAGCGAGACTCTGTCTCAAAAAAAAAAAAAAAAAAAAAAGAAAAAACAGTAAAGGGGCTCCAGCGTACATATACGATAGGCAAAACTCTAACAGATCAGAACAAGTATTGACTGCTTGATTTATGTGAGAGGTGATCTCATATAAGCTAGCGTTGCCCAGGCTGGCCTTGAACTTCTGGCCTCCTGAGTAGCTGGGACCACAGGTGTGCACCACAGCACCTGCTGAACAAGGATTGAAACTATCATTCAAGACCTCTTTATTGAAATGCAGGCAGACTTGTGCCTGCCTGTAAAAGTGCATGCTGTATACTTGTGTGTGTTGGCCCAGAACAGTCAACACAAAACATGCCTTTGTAAAGTCACTGGACTTTAAAGATAAAGAAATAATCCTTTAGGCAGCCAGACAGAAAGACCAAGTATCTTATAAAGCAAAGAAAACCAACTTGACATCAGACTTCTCCAAAGTGACATTCAATACCAGAAGAAAAAAGAAGCAATGCCTCCTTATCTAGAATTTGTGGGTAGAATTCTGTCCCCCAAAAAGGTATGTTACACTTTGGGAAACTGAGGCAGGTGGATCACTTGAGATCAGGAGTTCGAGACCGGCCTGGCCAACATGGTGAAACCCTAGCTCTAATAAAAATACAAAAATTAGCCAGGCATGGTGTGGTGGGTGGGGGTGCCTGTAATTCTAGCTACTTGGGAGGCTGAGGCAAGAGAATTTCTTGAACCCAGGAGGTGGAGGTTGCAGTGAGCCGAGATCCCGCCACTGCACTCCAGCCTGCGTGACAGAGCAAGACTCTGTCTCAAAAAAATAATAAAAATTTTAAAAGATATGTTAAAGCCTCAATCCCTGGTACCTATGAATGCAACCTTTTTGGAAATAGGGCCTTTGCAGATATAATCAAGTGAAGACGCAGTCACACCTGATTGGAGTGGGCCCTGATTCAATACAACTCACCTCCTTATAAGAAGACAAAAAAGGCCGGGTGTGGTGGCTCATGCCTGTAATCCCAGCACTTTGGGAGGCCAAGGTGTGTGGAGCACTTGAGGTCAGGAGTTCGAGACCAGCCTGGCCAACATGGTGAAATTCCGTCTCTACTAAAAACACAAAAATTAGCCAGTCATGGTGGCGGACACTTGTAATCCCAGCTCTTTGGGAGGCTGAGGCAGGAGAATGGCGTGAACCCAGGAGGCGGAGCTTGCAGTGAGCAGAGATCATGCCACTGCACTCCAGCCTGGGTGACGGGGCAAGACTCTGTCTCAAAAAAAATAAAAAATAAAAAATAGAAGATGATTCGGCTCATGATTCTGGAGGCTGGGAAGTCCAAGTTTGAGGGGCTGCATCTGGCGAGGGCCTTCCTGCTGTGTCATCACATGGCAGAAGGCATCACATGGCAAGAGAGTGTGAGAGAGTGAGAGAACACATGCCCAGCCTCGAGGCCTTTTGTTACCTGCATGGATCATCCATGGATCATCCTAAACACCTCCCCTTAGGCCCTACCTCCCAACACTGTTGCATTGAAGACTGAGTTTCCAACACGTGTTTTTAGAGGGACACATTCAAATCACAGCTTCCCCGCTCCACCACCCATTTTAATCCTGGGCTTTGCCTGGCTCCAATTCCTCTCTTATGTAAAGCAATGGATCAGACACACAGCCTTGGGGGATCTGTGAGAACTGAAGGGACTGAGGCCTCTCTCACACAGAACCCCAAAGCCCTCCCATGCCTCCAGGACCCCCAGCAGGGAAGAACCCCACCTAACTCAGGGCCCAATCAGAGGCAGGGCCAAGGGTTATCCCTGCCCTCAGACTGGTTTTCCCAGGCTAGGGTCTGAGAACCCCGAGCAGCCAGTCCTTCTTCCCATGGGATGTGACTGGGCAGGGCCAGTGAAGGAACCCAGAGGCATGTTAGTCAAAGTGGGTTTCAGGCTCTGGGTGAGGGGTCCTGCATGGTGAGAAGCTGGGCCCACCTCCCACAGAGCCCACAGAACAGACTCAAACTCAGACACCAACAAGAAGATGCCAAGGCTGGGGAGGGCAGGCCCAGCCCGCAGAGTTCCTGCAAGGACTCTTCCCTGGCTGTGGTTGGAGCAGCTGCTCAGGAAATCCCTGGCAGCAGAGTGGGCACCCCCTCTGGGCACCAGGAGGAGAGGTGTGCAGGGGGGATTCCGGGTCAGCCATTGGGATTTGAGACTCGCCTGGACACCCACATCCACTTCTCCCCCACCAGGCGTTTCTCCCATCAGGAAAAAGGAATGCTCAGATGGGCCCAGAGGCCATGCAGAAAGAAGGAGGCCTTCCCCAGGGCTGAGAAGGCAGTGATGGGAGGCCGGCCCCAGGCTTGGGGTGTGGGTGGTTTCAATTGGAAAACTTTAATAATAAAAAATTGGAAGAAAGAATGTAATTCCCTCTACAAAAATATGTCCTCGTGATGCCACGTACCCACCTACACCCACCTGACCCCAGGCACCTCCTTCCACAGCCAGCCACTGCAAAGGAGGCCAGGGAATGTGTCTTCCTGGTGCCCACGAAGGAGACACAGAGCTGGAGGGCATGGGGACCCAAGGTTCCAGGCTTCGGAAGGGAAAGCGTCCACAAGCAACCCCACAGTAATGACAGCCTCTGATGGCAGCCCCCACTGGCCAAACTACATCCCCCTGGGCAGAGTGCACTGGGCCTGGCTTCCCTCCATGCTGGTTCCAACTCACAGCCGGGGGTGAGGCCAGGGTGAGGCCAGGTCCCCCCTCACGGGGAAGGCTCCCTGGGTGCTTCCCTGGTCAGGGCTGTGCATTCTTGTCACCAGTCCCTCCCTGACCCCAGTGACTCTGGCTGGGCCTCCACCCCTGCCCAGACCCACCCCACCACAGAAGACCCTGACCTACCATTCACTCTTTTTTAAATATTTTATTTTTTCAGAGACAGGGTCTCACTGTGTTTCCCAGGATAGAATATAGCGGCTGTTCACAGGCATGATCATAGCTCACTGCAGCCTGGAATCTCTGGCCTAAAGCAATCCTCCTGACTCAGCCTCCTGAGTAGCTACAGAGCCACAGGCCATGCCCGGCTCTCAGCATTCCCTCTTTTACTTTACTTTATTTTATTTATTTATTTATTTATTTATTTATTTATTTATTTATTTATTTATTTTGAGGTGGAGTTTCACTCTTGTCACCCAGGCTGGAGTGCAATGGTGGGATCTCAGCTCACTGCAACCTTCGTCTCCCGGATTCAAGTGATTCTCCTGCCTCAGCCTCCCCAGTAGCTGGGATTACAGGCACCCGCCACCACGTCCAGTTAATTTTTGTATTTTTTTTTTTTTAGTAGAGATGGGGTTTTGCCATTTAGGCCAGGCTGGTCTTGAACTCCTGACCTCAAGTGATCTGCCCACCTCAGCCTCCCAAAGTGCTGGGATTACAGGCGTGAGCCACCATGCCTGGCTGGCTTTCCCTCTTGAGCACATGCAGGTAGGCAGGAATCCCAGCCCCCTTTGCAGATGAGCAAACTGAGACACAGAGAGGTTCAGCCACCTGCGAAAGTTGCACAGCCAGGATCCACTGCCTTCTCACAGCACTGACCCTCTTCCCAAGGAGTGCCCAGTTCAGCAAGGCAGATGACACCAATCCCAACTGGGCAGCCAGGTTTTATGAGGCCAGGACAAACAGCACTGATTTAAAGCCTCGTAGAGGGGTTTAAATCACAGGCCCTGCCACAGGCTGGCCTCAGGGTCCTGGGGGAGCTGGGGGCATGTTTCTGAGCCGTAGCTCCTCTATCCACCCAAGGGAGCTGCTAGCACTGGCCTTAATAGTGTGCTGTGAGCCCGGGGGCTTGCAGGTGGGCATTGAATGATTCCTACCACCCCACAAATACCACTCTGCCCCTCCAACGGGGGCAACCCCTCATGGCCTGCCTCGGCAGCCTGGAAGTTACGCTCTATTGCATCACCTCCAGGAAGATGGAGAGAGGCCCCCAGGACCTCATGAGGTTGGTTTTCTGCATAATGAGATGCCTTGGATATTCCTAAAGGTCCGAGCCTAGGCCTCTGTCAGCACATCAGTGAATGTAGCCCTGCTGGACAAGCTCAGGAGGACTCCAGGATCCCGAGTGACACATTCCACATCCCCACAGGCAGACCGGGGCCTGCAATTACAGATGGGAGGATGTTCCCAGGAAAGCACCAGGCAGGGAGGGTGGTGGGCAGCAGTTCTGGGCTTTGCTCCTCCCCAGGCCCCATTTCTTCATCTGTAAAATGGGGAGAAAATATTTTCCCTTCCTAACTGCATTGGAAAGACGAGATAAGCAGCCGACTGGGGAAGGTGGAACTTCCCACTCACCCAATATTGGGCGAAATAAGTGGGTTCAGAGACTGAGCGGTGGTGCTGGCCCCAGACACTGGTGTGGATGCAACACGTTGCAGGACTCAGCCCATCGAACCCCTGCCCGCCGCTGCACTGATGCCCACCCCACTCTCTATATCCCGGCATCCAGCACTGCCCCCTGCTGAGGGCTCGGCCAATGTTTCCTGAATGAATGAGTGGCCCCTGGATGTGAGCATGGGTCACACACCTCATGGTGATTGGGTGGGGGTTTCTCATGAGTAGAGGGACCCCCACATGCCAGGGCTATGCTGAGCAGGGACGTCAGTGACTCCCTCTGTGAAGGCGGCCACTTGAGGCAGGATTCTAGGAGCCTCTGTCACACCCGGCAGTGCACAGGATGCTTCAGAGAGAGGCTGTCCCAAGGCCTCCCGGCTCACTGGTCGCAGTCTTCCCGGTCCTCCCGCCACCCTCCACACAGCACCACTGCCACCCTCATCCCTGCTGGGCAGGAGAGGTGGTCGGGAGGGCAGACACAGGGCAGTGGGCGAGTCTGATCCAGGTTTTGTGAGGCCTCCCTATAAAGAAAAGAATACAAACTTACAAAAACAAAATTAGGTATGACAGTGAATATTTCTTTAGGATGAGGAAAAAAAAACACAAACATACAAAATCCAGAAAACCAACATTGTGTTTTTACGAAGGGCCTGCTCCATCTCCATAACACTTCTTCCTGCACTTTTTGGCTGTGTACTTTTTATCTATCTCATTGTTTGAGAATTTTACATCACCTACGATAGAAGGAATAGAAACATAATTGCTCTTCCTCCAGCATGGCTGATTGAAATTTGTTTTTTCTTATTTATAATTAGAACACATAGAACAGATGACTTAACACGTGCACACAGCTTTGCAGTACAGCTAGAGGTCTGTGTACGTTAAACAACAAGTTCTGATCAATTCTATTTACAAGATTCCTGTTTGCAAAAGGAAGCAGGCCAGGCATAGTGGCTCCCACCTGTAATGCCAGTACTTTGGGAGCCCAAGTTGGGCGGATCACTTAAGCCCAGGAGTTTAAGACCAGCCTGGCCAACATGGTGAGATCCTGTGTCTACAAAAAAAAAAAAAAAATAGCTGGATGTGTAGTTCCAGCTACTCAGGAGGCTGAGGCGGAAGGATTGCTTGAGTCTGGGAGGTTGAGGCTGCAGTGAGCTGTGACTGCCCTACTGCACTGCAGCCTGGGTGACAGAGCAAGTCCCTATATCAAAAAAAAAGAGGAAGCAGCAATGCTGGGTGCACATTTGTAATTGTATACGATGCATTTATCAACAGACCATTTCTGCTCTGGTGAGGCCCTGATGAGAGCTGAATACTCTGCTTACAATGGCACACGCCCGAGGACCGTCAGAGGGTCCACCGGGCGCTTGGGCTCCGTGTGTTTCAGACCAGCCTGGCCAACATGGTGAAATCCGCATCCATGTGCGGTGCAGAGCATGGCAGGGTGCATTCTCCTCCTCACCGTCTCTCCCAAGCACCTTCAGGTCGTGATGCCCAAGAAACCATCTATGCTCAGGTCTTAATCCATAAAGGTGCCTAACAGAGGTCAACGCTATTGAAAGGAAAGTCTAACATTGCTCTTGAAACATTCGCTAGAAATGAGAGACGTGGCAGGCCCCGCAGGGCGGCACGGGGAAGCCGCAGGCAGACCAGGAGGCAGAAAGGAGCGAGGGAAAGGCCAAGCCACAGCCTGTGTTGGCTTCCCTTGGAAAGCCGGGCAGAGCAGGGGAGAGAGCTTGGGACGGGCTGATTTGTCTGATTCTGGGTTCCGGGGCTGTCCCTTGTGGTCTGGTTCTGGGCCTGGGTTGACACTGAGCAGGGAAATATTGGCTGGGGGTACAGAAGATGAAGGAAGTGGTTTGGAGCAGGGGCTCTGGGCAGCAGGGGAGGTGCCAACAGCCCTGATCAGGAGGTTGGCCCTGTCATCATGACCACAAGTACTCAAACACAGGATCTAAGGAGGCACAGATCAAGGATGAAGCCAGCAGGAAGGTCAGTGGGGATGAGGGGGACTTGGGGTCTTTCTTCCTCTGCCTCCTTCCCCTTCCCACACCGGAAGGTAAATTGTGTTCTTCTGTGAAAGTCACAAGAACTCTCAGACACCCAGAGAGTTCACACACAAACACAGGAAAAGACACAAGTCGTATGACCATCTCAACAGATGCAGCCGAGTGTTTGATGACACTCACCGTCTGTTCTTAAGGAAAAGCTCAGCCCTCTGGGAAGAAAAGACCCGTTGTTAAGCTGATGAAGGCCATCTATGGAAAAAGTCAGAGCTGCCAACAGAGCTAACAGGAAAATGTTGAAAGCTTTCTTTGAAAGATTGGCAAGGGGACAAAAATCCTATTAGTGCCACTGCTATTCAATATCAGCCTGGATGTGGCAGACTGCACAGTGAGTTGGGTAAAGTTTGTGAAGAAGAAAACAAAACTGTCTTTATTCACAGATGATATGGTTGTGTATGCAGAAGAGTCTACGTAATCCACAGGGAAATTCTGAGGATTCAGAGGAGTTTAGCAAAGTTGTTGGGTTCAAAATCCATAGGCAAGATTCCATTTTCTTACTATATATTAGCAACAATGTTGGAAAAATAAAATTTATAAAAAGACATAATAGCACAAAATATCAAGAATCTAAGAATAATGTACAAGGTCACTATACAGAAATGTTATTAGTAGGCATTAAAGATGGTCTAAACAAATGGAGATACCATGTTCATGGATTAGAAGACTCAAAATGAATTCTTCCCAAATTAATTAATTTTTTCCAAATTGATTTGTAGAACTAAAGAAATTGCTATCCAAATCCTAACCAGGTTTTTGTGGACCTTAAAATACTTACTCTAAAATTTGTGGTGTTTTCATTTTTGATTTTTTTTTCTTTTTCTTCTTCTTCTTATATTGAGACGGGGTTTCTCTATGTTTTCCAGGCTGGTCTCAAACTCCTGGGCTCAAGCCATCCGCCCACCTCAGCCTCTCAAAGTGCTTGGATTACAGGCATGAAGCACTTCATCCAGACTAAAATTTGTATGGAAATACAAATTCAATTTGACAAATATTTGGCCAGGCATGGTGGCTCATGTCTATAATCCCAGCACATTGGGAGGCTGAGGCAGGTGGATCACTTGAGGTTTGGAGTTCGTGACCAGCCTGACCAACATGGTGAAACCCCGTCTCTACTAAAAATACAAAAATTAGCCGGAAATCACTTGAGCCCAGGAGGCGAAGGCTGCAGTGAGCCAAGATTGTGCCACTGTACTACAGCCTGGTCAAGAGAGCGAGACTCCATCTCAAAAAGAAAAAATAATAAATAAAAAATATTTTTTGAGCCCCTTAGTCCAGGGACTGCTTCTGGTACTTGGGATGCCTCTAAGAACCCCACCCACAAAGACCCTTCTTCGTAGACCTTAGCAGGGGAGACACACAGTAAAGAGTAAACACAATACATAGGCAAAGTACCCAGTATGGCAGGAGGTCATAACTGTTTTGCAAAAAACAAAGACTACAGAGGGGAGGGTCACCAGGACATCTAGGGGCAGAGGTGGGGTGAGAATCCAACCTTCCACACGGGCCATCTCTGAGACCCATCTCTGTGACCCCAACAAGAGGCCCCTCGCCGGCCATCCCTTTCCAGCTTCTGAGGTCCTGATGTAGAAGTGGCTCCTCTGCAGCTCTGAGGTGAGAGGCCAAGCCCTCCGTGACCCCAAAAGGCCAGGGCTCCCCAAGTGTTATCCACAAACACCCCTGTGGGGACTGCAGGCTCCTACAAGGCGCCCTTGTGCAGGTCTCTTGCAGAGCTTCTCCATCCACTCTCTGGGCCCTGACACAGTGGGAGGGTGCCTGTCCTTACCCCAGCCGGATGTCCCACCACACTCCTGCCTGGGGACTTCTGGCATGCAGGAGAGGCTGGACACGCAGATGCAGAGAGGCTTGCCCCAACGCCGTTGCCCGTTTTACCTTGAAGTTCGTGGTTCTTTCATTCTTGCTCCAAACTGTGAGTCAACCTTTAAAATATATGATATTGAAGTTCTCCTTCAGCCTCCAGTCTTTCATCAGAGTTAAATCCAGAGATTTCATGAGCAGTAGATAAATCTGCAGTAGAGAAAAGTGCTCCAAAGGTGGGCGCGCCTGGCTCCCATTTGGAGGTGTTTATAAATGCTTTTATGTAGACCCCTCCTAGATGACGAGGAATGGCCTCAGAGCAACCCTGGGAAGGATGAGGAGGGGTCCGGGGACTCCAGACGAAATCGCACAGCCGCCTACCATGTGAGTGGAAACCCATGCTGCTTCTGCCTGGCCTCTAGGATCCGCGTTCAGGGGAAGCCGCGTCCCTGCGGTCATGAGACGTGATTGTTCAGACCAATGGATGAGGCTGAGCAGAATCATTTCATTTCCCCCGCACTTGCCAAAGGCAGGGACTTTCCTATTTGTCCCTGCCTGATATGCAGGAAGGGCTCAGAACTACTTAAGAACAAATCAATGAACCTATGGCTTTATGGCAAATACCACAGAAACAACCTTAGAAATGGGCTGAGGAGGCTGTCTGGCCTCTAACAAATGACCTCATCTCTCTGAACCTTAATTTCCTCGTCAGTAAAGTGGCAGTGCAGCCCCTCCCTCACAGGACGCTCCCTGGCAGAGTGCAGCCCTGCCGTGCAGCAGCCGGTATGAACTCGTCCTTGTGATCAGGAGGGCCCTGCTGAACTGTTTCCGCCCCGCAGGTGCCTACAAAGCCCGGGAAATGATGTGGCCTTCCTTGAGCCATGCAATGGCACTGTTGTCACCAGGAAAAGGGCCTGTGGCACCCACCTGGCCACTCATGGCCTAAATGAGACAGGCCCTCTTCATCGGCCTCAGTGGCTCATTGAGATGAGGACTTGGGAATTTTGCTGTTTAACAGAGCAACTGAGCACCCAGGTGGCTGCCCCAGCAGACCCTGGAGACGTTTCAGGAGACCTGGCAGGGACCCAAGCCTCTGCCACTGCACCAGGCCCTGGCCAGAGGGCTGGGCTCAGAGCCCTTTATTGTTTTATTTTTATTTTTTATTTTTTAGAGACAGAGTATTGCCCTGTCTCCCAGGCTGGAGCACAGCAGTTGAAACCATACCTCACTGCAGCCTCGATCTCCCAGGCTTAAATGATTCTCCTGCCTCAGCCTCCAAGTAGCTGGGACCACAGGCATATGCCACCATGCCAGCCTTATTGTTAAATGTTTTGGGTAGATCCCATCTCCCTATGTTGCTCAGGGTGGTCTTGAACTCCTGGGCTCAAGCGTTCCTCACATCTCAGCCTCTTGAGTAGCTGAGACCACAAGTGTGTGCCACTGCACCTGGCCCCAGAGCCCCTTTTAAACTGCAACTCACAGTCTCCAAGTTAGACTCACACAGAGAAGATCTAAATATGTGTCTCCTTGAGGGAGGCTGAGGAGTGGAGGAGGATGAACTCTTACAAAACGTCAACCTTTTTAAAAATGTGTTTTCAGTAATTGCTGTTCTGTGCCAAGTTTTATCCTAGTGGGAGTTTCATGTCAGAATTACTAAGTAGGAGTTCATAACAGAGAAGTTAATCGCCCTTGTGTAGGGGCGAGGCACCAAGCGATGATCTCTGTGCCCAGGTAGGTGTTTTCTGGATCCACACAAGCACAGGAGATGGCAGGTGGGGAGTGGGTGGGGGGTTATGAAGGGCAGCCGAGGAGGGGCAGGGGGCAGGGGGAAGCAGGATCTCTGACGGTAGAAGGGAGTGGTCACTACGTCCCCAACACACCCCCTTCACGTCCCCGCTATAGCCACACACTACGGGGGAAAGGCTCCAGGCCAGCCCCCATCCCCTCAGGACCATGATGCGGGCATCTGCAGAAACGGGTGGGGGCTGTCTGGCCTGAGAGGCCTAGAGCCAGGAAGAGGTGGTTTAGAGCTGCCCTCCTCCTCCAACTTCAGCCCCAACCCCCTTCCTCAGCAGCAGATCCCACCTGAGTCTCTCCTAGGCCTGTTCTGGATCCGAAGTGGGTATGAGACATTCACCATCTATTCCTTTGCTCCACCATCACCAGAGGCTTTGTGGTACCTTATTTTTGAGAATAGGCAACATATTCTAGGACTAGGCTGGGAACAAGGGAGAAATTCATCATGCATCCCTCCATTTATCCATCCATCCATCCATCCATCATCCATTCTCCCACCTACCCACTCATTCCCCATCCAGCTACCCACTCATCCATCCATCCATTTGTCCATTCACCTACCAATCCATTTATCTATCCATCCATCCCCATCCATCCATCCATCAATCATTATCGATCCATCTATCCACTCATCCACCTATCCACCTACCAATCCATTCATTATCCATCTACCCCATCCATCCATTCACCTACCAATTCTTACATTATCCATCCATCCCCATCCATCCATCCATCCACCCACTCATCCACCTATCAATTCATTATCAATCCCTCCCCATCCATCCACCCACCCACTCATCCATTCATCATCCATCTATCCCCATCTACACATCCATCCATCCACCCATCCATCCATCCACCCACCCACCCACCTATCAATTCATTCATTATCAATCCATCCCCATCCATCTACCCATCCACCCACTCATCCATTCATCATCTATTCCCATCCGTCCATCCACTTACCCATCCATCCATCCACCCCATCTACCCATCCATCTATCCACCCCATCTACCCATCCATCCATCCACCCATCCACCTACCAATGCATTCATTATCCATCCATCCACCCACCCACTCATCCATTCATCATCCATCTATCCCCATCTACCCATCCTCCTACCCATCCATCCATCCACCCATCCATCCACCCACCCACCCACCCACCTATCAATTCATTCATTATCAATACATCCCCATCCATCTACCCATCCACCCACTCATCCATTCATCATCTATTCCCATCCATCCATCCACTTACCCATCCATCCATCCACCCCATCTACCCATTCATCTATCCACCCCATCTACCCATCCATCCATCCACCCATTCACCTACCAATGCATTCATTATCCATCTATCCACCCACCCACCCATCCATTCATCATCCATCTATCCCCATCCGTCCATCAACCCACCCACCCATTCAGCATCCATCTATTCCCATCCATCCATCCACCCACCCATCCACTTACTAATTCATTCATTATCCATCCATCCCCATCCATCTATCCCCCCACTCATCCATCCATCCATTCATCATCCATCTATCTCCATCCATCCATCTGTCCCCACCCATCCACCTACCCAACTACCCACTCATCATCCATCTGCCTACCCATCCAGCCACCCATCCATTCTTCATCTGGATGGACAAATCTTCATTGAGCACCAATTCTGTGCTGGGCAACAGGAGACATAGATGCAGGAAACACAATCTCTGCTCTCAGAGAACATGCTTTCCAGGGACAAGAAGACATGGACAGAAGCACCAGGTGAAGATGCTAGGACATGGCTGATCTGTGGTCCATATCCTGTTGGGGAAAACTGCGGGCCTGGGGACGTTGGTCTAATGCAGAGAAGACTTGGAGGAACTGGCATATGCTGCTGAGAATGTTTGGTGCCCACCATAATACCTGGGAGCGGGGAGGGAGGACAGAGGGGTGACCACAGTGAAAATGTGGAGGGATCAGTGGAGTGTAAGGCCAGCCATTGAAGGAATGTTTAGGTGAGGCACTGCAGAAGTCAGCTGGACACAATCAGGAGTGTAAGTGTTAAAGAAAGAGGAAAGAAACACAAAATGCAGCCTTGGGGCTGACATATCTCTGGCCGGAGGGGAGATTATCTCGGGGCTGGCATGCCTCTGGTGAGGGAGGGGTTTGGAATGTTTCTGGTCTGAGATGTTATTTGTGGTTTTTGGTCATGCTGACCTTAGCCATTAGGCTGATGCCCTTTGGATTTAGGCGGTTTTTGATCAGGGTGAACTTAAAATGGCAGTGCTTGTCCAAGATGGCAATACTCCTGCTGCTGGTTGGCCACTCGGAATTGTCTTCGTGGAGAGAGAAGACTTTATGGTTATGGGCCACAATATCTAGGGTGTGGCCATGGGAGAGGAGGGCTGGGGTAGTTTTGAGGTCAAGACCATGAAAGGAGAGCAGGCCAGGGTTTTGCAGGGATCACCCCCTGGAAACGGAAATCACCAAAAGTTATAAGAAGAGGAGGAGTGCTGCAGAGCGATGTGGTCCTTGAGGGGCGAGCGGGTGTCCATCTCCAGTTACAGCACAGTCAAGGGGATGCTCAAAGTGTCAACAAAAAAGAGTCAAACTCTGTAAAATATTTGAAGAGAGTTATTCTGAACCAAACCTGAGTGATCATGGCCCATGATGCAGCCCCTGGGAGGTCCTGAGAACATATGTCCAAGGTGGTCAGGGTGCAAATTCATTTTACACATTTTAGGGAGATGTGAGACCTCAATCTAATACATTTAAGAAATAAATTGGTTCAGAAAAGCAAGAGAACTAGAAGGCGGGGGGTGGGTGAGGGGGGACTTCCAGGCTATAGGCAGATTTAAAAATTTTCTGGGTGACAATTGGTTGAGTTGATTTAAAGACCTGGGATCAATAGAAAATGTTTGGGTTAAGATAAAGGATTGTGGAAACCAAAGTTCTTATTTGCAGAGGAAGCCTTCAGGTGGCAGGCTTCAGAGAGAATAGACTATAAAATATTTCTTATCAGACTAAAGTGTGTTGATGTTAATGCTGGAGCGATAATCATGCAAGTCCGATCCCCACTTCCCATCATGGCCTGAACCAGTCTTTCAGATTACATTTTAAGAGTGCCCTGGCAGAGGAGGAAGTCCATTCAGGTGGCTAGGGGGCCCTCAGAATTTTATTTTTGGTTTACAAAAAGTTTAGGATATGGGGGACGTTGCTCATGGCTGGTCAGGAGCTCGAGAGTGGAAGGGTTTGAGGGAACTGGGGATGGGGGAAAGGGTCTGAGAAGGGTATATACAGAGCTGTCTGGGGCAAGGGGTGGCCTGGGGGGACTCGAACTTTCCATACAGAGGGAGAAGCAGCATAATGAGCTTCATCCTGGGGTCTACAGTGGCAGACAGTGGGGAAAGCAGTGACAGGGATTTTGCCAGCAGAGGAGGCAGCTGAGGGTGGTCTTACTCAAACACCCTCCCTGAATGCTGGGAGCTGGGAAGGGGCTGGTTTTGCCCAAGCACATGGGGTCTCACTTGTCTTCAGGCAATGGTGGCTGCCTGAGGATAGGGGAGGCTCATTGCCCTAGGCCAAGTGGGAAAACTGCCTCACCCAGAAGGTCACACCCTCCCCCACAACCCAGTGCCTGATTGATGAGGGGAGGGAGAGGAGACACAAAATGGTCCTGGCCTCAAGGCAGGGACAGCCGTGAGGTGCAGTGCTCCCAAGCTCCCCTTCATCCAACCAGGCTGAAGCAGTCACAGCCTTGCTCAGCTCTCTGCACCGACTCTCTACCCCCACTCTCCTTTCCTAGGAGCACCCCCTCCATAATCACCTCCACAGGAATTCCATCTCAGCTCTGCTTCCAGGAAACCTGACCCAAGACAGAGGTTGTTGCAAGGGCAGAGGCCACAGGCATCCACACCAGCCTCTGTGCATTCAGTCTGTGAGCGGCCCAATGCTCCCCATGCACTCCTCCTTAAAGCCTACTCAACCCTGGGGTCTGCAGGCAAATTCCTCGTGGGTGCCTTCCCTTGTCCTGGCTGCCGCTCTGCTTCCTTTGCAAGCTCCTTCTCCCACCCTTGCGCTAGCTCCCTCCAGAGGGCTCCATCCCCTGCCCACTGTGCCTTCGTGGGTGGTGCCCAGATCTCTGTCTCCTCTGCCCTGGACCCCTCTGCCCCTGACTGGAAGATCTATAGAGTTCAATGCCCCTGGAGGGTTCCACGTCCATCCCACAGGGACCCGGACTCTCATCTTCCTCCTGAGCGTGCTCTCCCCGGAGACCTGGCATTGGAATTCGCCCTGCCACTTTCTGGTCTCCCCAGGTGGAAACCTGGGCGTCAGTCTGGACGCTTGTCACCAAATTCTGTCCCTTCCACCTTCACATGGCCTCTCCGTCTTCACCGCCTCGGTGTCTCTATCTCGTCCCGATCACTGTCGCCTCTCCTCTGGCAGAGAGCACCAGCACTCCCACTGGTCTCTGCTTTTCCTCAAACGCATCTCTGTGTAAATCTCCTCTCAGGATCACTCTGTGGACCCCACTGCTCTGGGTGGAATCTTCTTTCCAGTGGCATTTCAGTCCCCTGGGTCTGCCTCACTCCTCACCACCGTCTTGTGCTTCTGCACTGAGCTCCAGCCAGACCACCGGCCTGCAGCCACCTGGCGCTACCTGTTCCTGTGTGCTTCCTGCCTGTCCAAACTCAAGGACAAAAACAAACTGCTTTTTGGCTGTGGTGGCATGAAACCCCAATAAGTCAATGACAATGCTGCATGCTTCTGAAAGCCGGCCAGTCAGGGACAGCTCCACACTACAGAACAGGCCCAGGCAGCAAGAACCTTGTGCCCCTGAAGTCAGGCTGAATACTCTCGCTTCTGAAAGCTGGACAATCCTCAATGCCAGGCTTCCCAAGAGACTCAATTTGTTTTGCTCTGAGAGATGGTCCTATAAGCACAGTTCCCCTTTGCTCTAGTAAGCAAGATACTCAGCTTCAGCGCTGACCAGCCTCACAATCTGTCCTCACCAAGTGGAGGGTCCTCCCTCCGGGTTCCTCCACGGCCGTATCTGTCTCTGTTCATACACCTTCCCCTCAGCACTTAGAGACATGGGCTGGCATGGCGGGTGCTGGCAGCAGGGGTGAGAAATAAACTTTCAGCCCTAGATGAGGAGCCCAAGAGGAGAGCATGCCATCACCTGGAGTCTCTGGTATGTGCCTGGCACCTGTACTGATTGCATTAACCACTGTGATTTTTTAAAAGATGTACTATTTTGAAATGTATAATACATACGGAGAAGTGTATGAAATATGTACAATTTAAAGATAAGGAAAAATTCATGCCTGTGTGCCCACCACCTAGTGAAGAAATACAACCTGGACACCACTTTGGAAGCCTGTCTGTGTTCACCCGTTGCATTCTCCCTCCTCCCCCAGCCCAGGTATCCTCCAACCTTTAGCCATCCTCTGACTTTCTTTAGTTTCATTGCCTGAAGTCCGAGCTACTAGGGAGGCTGAGGCAGGAGCTTTGCTTGAACCCAGGAGCAGAGGTTGCAGTGAGCCAAGATTGCCCCATTGCACTCCACCCTGGGTGACAGTGTGAGACTCCCTCAAAAAAAAAAAGTTTGTGGGACCAATTCCAATCGAGTCAAGGGGTCTCAATTGGCCAAGGCAGTCTCAAACTTCTGACCCAAAGTGATCTGCCTGGTTCGGCCTCCCAAAATGCTGGGATTGTAGGCGTGAGCCACCATGCCTGGCCTCCCCTCCTTTTCATTCAGGGATTTTAAATGTTTTATTTGCTCCATCTGTTATGTATGATTGCCTTGATGATTTCAGCTTGAATTAAAATTACATATTTTTGCCTGTGTTTATTAATATTTAAACATATTAAAATAATACATGTTCATAATGAAAATGAAACATTACAAATAAATACACAGGAAAGGCAGTATTCCCCTTCCAGTTCCACTCTTGAAATAACCAGTTAACAGGATGATAAACATCTTTCCATGATGTTCTCCAAGATTCATATAATTATTTGCAATCATACAATGGCATACACAGCTCAGTCGCGGTGGCTCACGCATGTAATCCCAGTACTTTGGGAGACTGAACCGGGTGGATCATTTGAGGTCAGGAGTTCAAGACTAGCCTGGCCAACATAGAGAATCCCCATCACTACAAAAAACACAAAAATTATCTGGGCGTGGTGGTGGACGCTTGTATTCCCAGCTACTTGTGAGGTGGAGGCATGAGAATCACTTGAACCTGGGAGATGAAGGTTACAGGGAGCCGAAATCGCATTACTTCACTCCCACCTGGGAGACAGAGTGAGATTCCATCTCAATAAATAAATAAATAAAGAGAAAGAAAGAGAGAAAAAAAGAAAGATGAAAGAAACAAAGAAAAAAGGAAGAAAGAGAGAGAAAAAAAGACAGAGAAAGGAAGCAAGCAAGCAAGCAAGCAACCAAGAAAGAAAGAAAGAAAAAAAATAGAAAGAAAAAGAAGTCATGTGCTCAGGTTGCTAGGATCGATGGTAAGAACAAATCCTCTAGCGGTGAAAATGTAAGAAGGAAAAAGAAATTTCTGTTAGTCTTGTTTGTTGGACCCCAAGCTCTAAAAATACAGCCACATGTGTGATAAGTACTTAGTTAAGATGAAAAAGGCATTAAATTTGTGCATGGAAATCATAAACAGAAATGTGTTCTGATTGACAGCAATTGGGTCAATGCTATCCAAGGTTCAGGCATCCACTGCGGGTCTTAGAACACATCTCCTGCAGATAAGGGAGGGCTACTATATAACGTTTCTTTCTTTTTTTCTTCAATTATAAAGCATTCTCCTTTTTCATATAACAATTTGCCATTGATATCACTTTAGGTATAAAGATATTAGGATATCTTTATAGTAGATAAAAAGCTAACTCATTATTTGTAAGAGTTAAAGTATCTTCCATTATATGAGCATTTAAAATGCTAAAGTACTTTTGCCACCAAAAATAGTGCTTCTGTAAATATTCTTTTACTTATACCTTTATTAATTTTTACTTCTGCTGAAAGAAATTGCATGAGGAAACAAATGTATGTGTATAAAATGTAATAAATGTATATATATTTAATATGTGTATATACAACTTAATATATACACATACATACAATAACATACCCAAATTTTTGGTTGTTTTTTGAGGTGGAGTTTTGCTCTGTCACCCAGGTTGGAGTGCAGTGGTGTGATTTCAGCTCACTGCAACCTCCACATCTTGGATTCAAGTGATTCTCCTGCCTCAGCCTCCTGAGTAGCCGGGAATACAGGCATCTGCCACCAAGTCCAGCTATGTCTTTTCGGTGGAGATGGGTTTTCACCATGTTGGCCAGGCTGCTCTCCAACTCCTGACCTCAAGTGGTCTGCTGACCTTGCCCTCCCAAGGTGCTGGAATTACACATGTGAGCCACCGCGCCTGGCCTAACATATACAATTTAATGTATATACAAATATAGGTTGGGTGCAGTGGCTCACTCCTGTAATCCTAGCACTTTGGGGAGCTGAGGTAGGGGATTCTTTGAACCCAGGAGTTTGAAACCAGCATGGGCATCATGGTGAAACCCTGTCTGTACAAAAAACACACAAATTAGTTGGGTGTGGTGGCACGTGCCTGTGCTCTCAGCTACTCAGGAGACTGAGGTGGGAGGATAGCTGGAGCCCAGGTGGTCGAGGCTGCAGTGAGTTGTGATCATGCCACTGCACTCCAGCATGGGTGACAGAGTGAGAACCTGTCTTAGACAAAAACGAATCAAACCAAATACAATGTTTATGCACTACACACTTGATTTCTTTCCAAAGGGTTATATAACACTAATTTCACCAGCAATATATGTGACTACTTATTTCCTACATACTCACTATCACTTGTGTGCAGTCAAGGAAACTTAGTAGGCCTGAATTGCCCAAACCTGGCATACTCCAAAGAATGGTGTGACTCTAGCCCAGCTCCTGGGAAATAACCTCTAAGTCCTTGGAATCTCCTGCCTATCTGGAAGTTAACAATGTGATTTATTGTGGGGACCTTGGACCATGCAGTGTCAGCTTGACCTTGGGAAGGGTGGAGACAGAGAAACTAAGGTCATCCAAATGGGTGCTCTTGTCCATGAGACCAACCTCCAGTAAAACCCTCAACCCCAAGGCTCAGGTAAGCTTCTTGTTGGGGAGTATTTTCTGTACTTTCTGCCACATATCGTTGGGTGAATTTAGCACTGTTCACATGATGCCACTGGGAGAGGACAACTGGAAGCTTGTGCTTGGTTTCTCCTGGACTCTGCCCTATACACCTTTTTCTGCTGCTGATTTTAATCTGTATCCTTTTGTTGCAATAAACTATAACTATGAGTATAACAGCTGGACTCAGTTTTGTGAGTCCTTCTAATCAATCACTGAACTTTTGGGACCCCAAAACACAATGTTGTTTCTTAATTGAATTTTCCATGTTATGTAAGGCATAATTGAAAATCCCACACTAAGAAGGAGCTCTCCATGCAGTCTACTCCCCACCGTGTGTCTCCAATAGTCCCAAGTCTACTTTCTGAATAATCAAATATTTAAATTTTCTAAACTATTTATAATCCATATATCTGAGTGCTTATCTCTGTTATATAATAGGTAGATCCTCCTCCTTCTGTTTTTTTTTTTTTTTTTTTTTTCTGAGACAGAGTCTTGCTATGTCACTCAGGCTGGAGTGCAGTGGCACGATCTTGGCTCACTGCAAGCTCCACCTCCTGGGTTCACTCCATTCTGCAGCCTCAGCCTCCCCAGCCGCTGGGACTACAGGCACCCACCGCCAGGCCTGGCTAATTTTTTTTTTTATTTTTAGTAGAGACGGGGTTTCACCGTGTTAGCCAGGATGGTCTTGATCTGCTGACCTCGTGATCCGCCTGCCTTGGCCTCCCAAAGTGCTGGAATTACAGGCATGAGCCACCGCGCCCGGCCCCTCCTTCTTAATGTATCAACTTGATATATTACCTGATGGCTTCGTGTTCTGATAGCTGATGACTTGGCTGACACTCACCCCTTACCACAGTGCCTGTACCACTTTCCTTATATGGTGCTCTCACTATTTTCTTTTTCTTTTCTTTTCTTCTTTTTTTTTTATTTTGAGACAGAGTCTTGCTCTGTCACCCAGGCTACAGTGCAGCGGTGCAATCTCAGCTCACTGCAACCTCCGCCTCCCAGGTTCAAGTGATTCTGCTGCCTCAGCCTCATGAGTAGCTGGGATCACAGGCACGAGCCACCATGCCCAGCTAATTTTTGTATTTTTAGTAGAAGCGGGGTTTCGCCATCTTGGCCAGGCTGGTCTCAAACTCCTGATCTTGTGATCCACCCACCTCGGCCTCCAAAAGTGTTGGGATTACAGGTGTGAGCCACCGACCCGACCACTCTCACTATTTCCAATGGCTCTATTGGTTACCATTCACAACATTCAACAATTAGACTTATATCTCATTTATTTATTTATTTTTAATTTTTTTCTGTTTTTAGGTTTAAGGGATACATGTGCAGGCTTGTTACATGGGTAAGTTGCATGTCACTGGGGTTTGGTGTACAAATGATATTGTCACCCAGGTAGTAACCACAGTACCCAATAGTTTTTTGACCCATAGCCTCATGCCATCCTCCCCACTCAAGCAGACCCTGGTGTCTATTGATCCCATCTGTGTGTCCATGTGTACTCAATGTTTAGCTCCCACTTATAAGTGAGACCATAGGTATTTGGTTACCTGATGCTGCATTAATTTGTTTAGGATAATGGACTCCAGCTGCATCCATGTTGCTTCAAGGGACATGGTTTCTTTCTCTACGGCTATGTAGTATTCCATGGTGTATAATTACCACATTTTCATTATCCAATCCACTGCTGATGGGCATCATATATGCCACTTCAAACTATACTACTAGGCTACAGTAACCAAAATAGCATAGTAGTGGTACAAAAACAGACACATAGACCAATGGAATAGGTTAGAAAACCCAGAAATAAATTCACACACCTACAACCATGTGATCTTTGACAAAGTCAACAAAAGTGAGCAATGAAGAAAGGACTCCCTATTCAACAAATGATTCTGGGATAACTGGCTATCCACATGCAGAAGACTGAGTCTGGGCCCCCTACCTTTCACCATATACAAAAATTAACTCCAAATGGATTAAAGATTTAAATATAAGACGTCAAACTATAAAAATCCTGGAAGACAAACTAGGAAACACTCTTCTCAACATCGGCCTTGGCAAATAATTTTTGGCTAAGATTCCAAAAAAGCAATTGCAGCAAAAACAAAAATAGACAAGTGGTACCTAATTAAGCCAGAAGCTGGGAGGCCAGGTTGGGCAGATTACAAGGTCAGGAGTTTGAGACCAGCCTGACCAACATGGTGAAACCCTGTCTCTAATAAAAATACAAAAATTAGGTGGTGGTGACACACACCTGTAATCCCAGCTATTCAGGAGGCTGAGGCAGGAGAATTGCTTGAACCTAGGTGGCAGAGGTTGCAGTGAGCTGAGATCGCACCACTGCACTCCAGCTGGGTGACAGAGCAAGACTGCCTCAAAAAAAAAAATTAAAATAAAAGCGTAAACACAACAAGACCAACTATCAACAGAGTAAACAAACTACAGAATGGGAGAAGATACTCACAAACGATGTACCCAACAGAGGCCTAATAATATCCAGAATCTATAGACAACTTAAACAAATGGATCCCTTACTCTGTAGCAAGTTCTGTATGCATAAGCCTCTCTTTGTTCTTATTTTGGTGGCCTCTGTTTATTTACACAAAGAGAAAGAACTGCTATTCCCATAAATCATGGCTTTCAAAATGGTCACAGTTCACTGGGCATGCTTGCTCATGCCTGTAATTCTACCATTTTGAGAGACCGAGGCGGGCAGATCACGAGGTCAGGAGATTGAGGCCATCCTGGCCAACCCAGTGAAACCCCATCTCTACCAAAAATACAAAAAAAAAAAGCCATGATTGGTGGCATGCGCCTATAATCCCAGCTACTCAGGAGGCTGAGGCAGGAGAATCACCTGAATCCAGGAGGCAGAGGTTGCAGTGAGCCGAGATCATGCCACTGCACTCCAGCCTGGATGACAGAGTAATACCATCTCAAAAAACCCAAACTGGTTAGGCTCGGTGGCTCACACCTGTAATCCCAGCACTTTTGGAGGGTGAGGCAGGTGGATCACAAGGTCAAGAATTCAACACCAGCCTGGCCAAGATGGCGAATCCCCAACTCTACTAAAAAATACAAAAATTATCCAGGCACTGTGGCAGGCACCTGTGATCCTAGCTACTTGGGAGGCTGAGGCAGGAGAATCGCTTGAACCCAGGAGGCAGAGGTGGCAGTGAGCTGAGATCTCACCACTGCACTCCAGCCTGGGCAATAGAGTGAGAATCTGTCTCAAAAAAAAAAAAAAAACATGGGGAAACTCCATCTCTACTAAAAATACAAAATTAGCCAGGCATGGTGGCACATGCCTGTAATCCCAGCTACTTGAGAGGCTGAGGCAAGAGAATCGCTTGAACCTGGGAGGCAGAGGTTTTGGGGAGGTGGAGGTTGAGGTGAGCCAAGATCGTGGCATTGCACTGCAGCCTGGGCAACAAGAGTAAAACTCTCTCTAAAAAACAAACAAACAAACAAAACAAAACAAAGAAAAATACACACAACTTATTTCCTGGTTTGTGATAATCTGTGAAATATATTTTGAAATGAATTGGAATTCAATACAGTACTATTCACACCCCAAATACTCCTAATATTTCCTTTCCCAGATGATGACCTGGTACTCTTCCTAGGGCTTGACTTCTCCCTACAGGTCCCCAGTACAAGTATTTGTGATTCTGAGTCAATTCATTGTCTACATGTGTGACAATGCAATGCTCTTGTTGTAGAGTACCAAGATGAGGCAGGTCCAAACTGCACATTTGTAGAGAACATAGTATATGTGCAATTGAACATGTATGTGGTTGTGATACTGAAAACAATATGAACTTATGCCAGGTGCAATGGCTGATGCCTGTAATCTTAGCAATTTGGGAGGCCGAGGCATGGAGATCACCTGAGGTCAGGAGTTTGAGAGCAGCCTGGCCAACCTGCTGAAACCCCGTCTCTACTAAAAGTACAAAATATTAGCTGGGCGTGGTGGCAGGCACCTGTAATTCCACCTACTCGGGAGGCTCAGGCGGGAGAATCGCTTGAACCCAGGAGATGGAGGTTGCAGTGAGCCAAGATCACACCACTGCATTCCAGCCTGGGTGACAAGAGTGAAACTGCGTCAAGAAAAAAAAAAAATTGGCCTTGGGCGTTTCTTTAGGTTGGCTCCTGTGTTCTATTTATAGCATGCCTTTATCAGGGGGTTGGGGTGTGGGACTAATTACCAACTTTCTGGCACCATAAAGTGTTTTGATTCATCTGGTATTTTCCCTGACCCAGACGTGGAATAAACCATTTATTTAAAGATCCTTGGTGTCTTTCATTGAAAAGTATTATTTACAAAGCACCAAAATCTTGGGCTGGGTGAGGTGGCTCAGGTCTGTAGTCTCAACACTTTGCGAGGCTGAGGCAGGAGGATCCCTTGAGGCCAAGAGTTCGAGACAAGCTTGGGCAACGCAGTGAGGCCCCCATCTCTATTTTTAAAAACCAAACAAAAACAAAATCGCCAATATCGGGGTGACACGTGTGTTCATTGCTATGGGTGTGTCATTGCTTCTAGGCCCTCTTAGTGGGCAGAACTAGGAAATATATTGTACGTATACTAACACACATGTCACATGCCTAATTTGTATATTTATTTAGCCTTACTGGAAGCATTCTTTTTTTTTTTGAGACAGGGTCTCACTCTGTCACCTAGGCTGGAGAGCAGTGGCATAATCTCAGCTCAATGCAACCTCCACCTCCCAGGTTCAAGTGATTCTCCTGCCTCAACCTCCTGAGTAGTTGGGACTACAGGTGCGTGCCACCATGCCTGGTTAATTTTTGTATTTTTAGTAGAGACGGGGTTTCACCATGTTGGCCAGGCTGGTCTGGAACTCCTGACCTCAGTGGATCTGCCCCCCTTGGCCTCCCAAAGTGCTGGAATTACAGGCATGAGCCTCTGTGCCTGGCCAAGCATTTTTAATGGGAGTGATATTGCCCCTAAGAGGGTGAACATTGGTTATTGAAGGTAAAATGAATTATAGTTGTTGCAATGGTTTGTGGCCTTCCACAATTTTTTTTTTTTTTTCGGAGAAGGAGACTCACTCTGTCACCCAAGCTGGAGTGCAGTGCTGCAATCTCTGCTCACTGCAACCTCTGCCTCCTGGGTTCAAGCGATTCTTCTGCCTCAGTCTCCCAAGTAGCTGGGATTACTGGCACACACTACCACGCTCAGCTAATTTTTGTACTTTTTGTAGAGACAGAGTTTCACCATGTTGGCCAGGCTGGTCTAGAACTACCAATCTCAAGTGATCTGCCTGCTTCAGCCTCCCAAAGTGCTGGGGTTACAGGTATAAGCCACCTTGCCTGGCCTATTGCACAAAATTTTACCCCTTGTTATTTAATTTCTCTCATATATGATGGGCAGCATTAATCATTTTATGGAAGATAAAAAATCCAAGCAAGATCAGGCCATGCACGGTGGCTCACACCTGTAATCTCAGCACTTTGGGAGGCCAAGGAAGGTGGATCACTGAAATTCAGGAGTTCAAACCAGCCTGGCCAACATAGTAAAACCCTGTGTCAACTAAAAATACAAAACAATTACCCAGAAGTGGTGGCACCTGCCTGTAATCCCAGCTACATGGGAGGCTGAAGCAGGAAAATCGCTTGAACCCAGGAGGCAGAGGTTGCAGTGAGTGGATCGTGCCACCGCCCTTCATCCTGCGTGACAGAGTAAGCCTCCACCTCAAAAAAAAAAAAAAAATCTTTGCAAGATCAGTGCTACAAAATGATGGCAAATTGATGGCTATACCTGGAAGACTTTTTCTTGATTGAATGCTCTATCCCAAAGTTATATGAGAGGTGGTCTGTGTGTGTCTATTGGCTGCCTTGTGGATAGTATTTATGATTGATCCTCAGTGCTTTGGGAATTATTTAAAATAGTTTATCTTATGAAAGTAATTCAACCTAGCATTAATTGTGTTAAGTGCTGAAAATGAAAAGTGTTGACTACATCTGAATGAATGAATATCTGGCCAACTGGTTTTGTTTTTTTTGTTTGTTTGTTTTTGTTTTTAGAGATGGAGACTCACTCTGTTGCCCAGGCTGGAATGCAGACATGATCTTGGCTCACTGCAACCTCCACCTCCTGGGTTCTAGCAAGTCTCCTGTCTCAGCCTCCCGTGTAGCAGGGACTACAGGTACTTGCCCCCACACCCAGGTAATTTTTTGTATTTTAGCAAAGATGGGATTTCACCCTGCTGCCCAGGCTGGTCTTGAAATCCTGAGTTCAGGCAATCCACCCACCTCAGCCTCCCAAAGTGGTAGGATTACAGGTGTGAGCCACAGCACCCAGCCTAGCTTACAGTTTTATTGAAAACCCCATTTAACTCAAAACAGCTTGTTTCTTATAAATAATAGTTTTTGTTTGTTTTTACAAATGGCTATGAAATCATCAAGATTTGTGGATCATCAATAAAAGAAACATCCTGATAAAGTCGAGAAACAGAATATTTAAAAAGTTTAAAATAGAATTTTGAACTGTAACACTGTTACTTCTTATTTAAGAAGGACAAGCCGTGGGGTGAGGTGGCTCACACCTGTAATCCCAACACTTTGGGAGGCCGAGGTGGGTGTATCACATGAGCCCAGGAGTTGGAGACCAGCCTGGGTAATATGGTGAAATCTTGTCTCCACTAAAAACACAAAAACTAGCCTGGCATGGTGTGTGCACCTGTAATTCCAGGTACTCGGGAGGCTGAGGCAGGAGACTCGCTTCAACCTGAGAGGTGGAGGATGCAGTGAGCCGAGATTGCAGCACCATGCTCCAGCCTGGACTATAGAGCAACACTCGGTATAAAAAAAAAAAAAAAAAAGGATAAGCAAACAAATTATGATGAAATAATTGCCTTATAAAATTGCAGAAATAGGCCAGGTGTGGTGACTCATGCCTGTAATCCCAGCAATTTGGGAGGCCGAGGCAGGTGCATCACCTGAGGTCGGGAGTTTGAGACCGGTCTGGCCAACATGGTGAAACCCCGTCTCTACTAAAAATACAAAGTTAGCCGGGCGTGGTGGCACATGCCTGTAATCCCAGCTACTCGGGAGGCTGAGGCAGAAGAATCACTTGAGTCCCGGAGACGGAGCTTGTAGTGAGCTGAGATCATGCCACTGCACTCCAGCCTGGCTAACACAGTGAGACTCTGTCTCAAAAAAAAAAAAAAGAAAAAAAGAAAAGATTACAGAAATCATTGTAAAACCCCATAGTGCTTTGTACTTGCTGAAACTGTCACAAGACTCACATGAGAGACGGTAACTTCAATAGTGATGTAACACATTACCACTATTTCACAATCACTCCTATTGAGCAATAATTCAATTCAAAGATGCATTAATGAGATGTCAGGTAATACCAAAGAGTAGCTGATTAATCAAGTAAGTTTCCTATTCAGATCAATGAAATCAGTTACTGAGAGTAAGGCCTGACAATAGGACATGTTTGTTATTTCAATAATGACTGCAAACTAAAAGAAGAGATATTGTTTGTAAAATCTTTAGACGCTGACCATACCAGAGTATCTATTCTTGCTGCTATAAAAACTTGGTTTGGGGCTGGGTGCAGTGGCTCATGCCTGTAATCTCAGCACTATCATTTTCTCATATGAATCGGAAAATGCTGACTTCTACATCCTAAATCTAAACTAATTTCCCACTCACTTGCTAAGCTTCAGTCACACCAGGCTGCTTTCTGTTTCTGGAACGATCCAAGCGCTCTCTGATTTTTCAGGGTCTTCAGTGTAACTGTGCCTCTGCTTGGAATACCCTTCCACACTGCTGGCTCCTCACCACCAAAGCTCGAGGGTTATCTCTCAGACACCCGTCCTATCAATGCTACGGGAAGTATCCCTCAAGTTACTGCCTATACCACCTATTGATATATTTCATAGTATTTATCACAATATAAAATTACTTCATCTTCCCCTTTTAATTTAAAATCTTTTTTTTTCTCCAGACTAGAATGTAAACCTCATGTGGGCAGCAGACATGTCTGCTTACTTATTTTTTGAGACGGAGTCTCGCTCTGTCACCCAGGCTGGAGTGCAAGGCGCGATCCCGGCTCACTGCAACCTCCACCTCCCGGGTTCAAGCGATTCTGCTGCCCCAGCCTTCCAAGAAGCTGAGATTACAGGTGCCCACCAGGCCCGGCTAATTTTTGTATTTTTAGCAGGGGAGCAGTCGGGCTCTGGACTACATTTCCCGGAGGATTCTGCGGGCCAATACCATGTCTCGCGAGATTTTGGCTTCCTCTTAGCCAGGTGGCAGAATCTTTCGCTGTGCCCAATTAGCTGCTGCCACGCCTTGGAGTCCGGAGTAACTTGGCCAGGCCGGCCCCGAGCGGAACTAGAGAAAGCTGAGGATGAGGAATCCGGCTCTGGTCCTTTTGTGTGTGGAGGGCTGAGGAGAGGAGTTTGCGTGTGTGATTGCCATGGTTGCCGTGGGTCTTCGTGGTCTGTGACTGTGGCTGTGTGGTGCTGACTCTGGGTGATCAGGTGGGCGCTTGTGACTGTGCGCGCTCGGAGTGGATGTGTGTGTCCTGGACGAGCCGCGCTGTGTGTGCGGATGTGGACAACCGGTGACTGTGTAGTGGGGGCTGCGTGTCCCAAGGTGGGTGTGTGACTTTGCGTGTGTGTGCAGTACTGTGTGTGCATGAGTTGCAGGTCTGTGGCTGTGCAGGTGCAACTTGTGTGGCCCCGTGGTCTGTGTGAGAGAGGAGAGTGTGATTGGCTGTGAGGCAGAGGGTAAGTGGATATAGGGAGGCATGTGTGCGATTGGAAATTTGTGTGTCCCCTTGAGAGAAAAAACCCTTTAGGGAGTTAGAGCGGGTCCTTGGTAAAACTCCTTTCAACAGAGAAACAGCCTGAAAAATCAGGCTGCAGGCACAGAGAAGGAAAACTAGCAAAGGGGGTTGTCCTAAAGACATTCCTCAGCTGCATTGATAGGGGACCGAGGCCCAACATAGAAATGCCTTTGTCCTTTGTGTGACCAGTGGGCTTCCAGGAAATAGTCGCTTTTTTGTGGGCATGTATATGGTGGGCTCTGTTAGATTTTGAAGGGAAGGTGAAGGTTAAAGAAAGAGAGAGAGTTGGCAGCTCTATGGAGGGGACCAACTAAATGCCAGAGCCCACTGCCGCTTACAGGCTGGAGTAATTATAGGCCTGGGCAGGAGGGATCTGGGCAGTATAGCTTGTTGCCTGGGAGCATGTTGATAAGGATGTTTCTTGGGCCTTTCCCCAGCAGGATGTGATAAGGAAGTCAGGCGGTTGGGGAGGATGTTTCTCGCAGCCCAAACCCCAGTGGAATGTTTCCCTCTGACCAGGGTCTGTGAAATGGTGGGGGCTTACAAATCGGTGCAGCTTGGACTAACAGGCTCTGGTGACCACTTTCCTTTTCTGGACATGCTTTGGACTGTGAGCCGAGCCTCTATGAATCATCACTTCAGCCCCTGATTGGTCCTGGGCCAAACTTTCACTTCAGCCCCTGCTTGGTCTTGGGCCAAAATTTCACTTCAGCCTCTGGTTGGTCCCAAGCTAAGGTCCCGGGCCAAGCGAAGTTGTGCTTTCTCCAAGACAGGTCACAGACTAGTGAGCACATTCTTCCCCTTCCCAGTTCACAAAACCCCCAGATTCAGCCTTCTAGTTGGCAACCCTCTTTCGGGTCCCCTCTCCGCTGGGGAGAGCTTTCTTCTTTTGCATATTAAACTTCTGTTCCAACCTCATCCTTTGTGTCCACGTTCCTTAACATTCTTGGCTGTGAGGGAAAGAAGGCAAAGACAAGAGCCTTTATCCTAACAACTCAATTGCTGGAGAGAAGATTCATGCATATTCTATGTGGCATCACATGCCATAGCCCTGGGATTGAAAGACATGCAGTTTAAGGGATGGTGTTAATCTCAGTCCAAATAGGTAATAAGATCTTTCCCTTTGCTATATTTTAGGGGTAGGAATGAGATTGGGGGTTTGATCAATAATTTGTACCCATAGGACCAGTGATTTGCCCAGTCATCTGTGAGTAAATGCTTGGACCAGTTTCCATGTCTGTATTGAATTAAAAACTCATACGGTTCTGTGATTTTTGTCAAATACAGATTTGGTCTTTGTCCCTGTTTCCTGGTATACAACTCCTAAAATCCTTGGAATGTCCTAAGGGCTTGCTTTTTTTTTTTTTTTTTTTTTTGAAACGGAGTCTTGCTCTGTAACCCAGGCTGCAGTGCAGTGGTGCAATCTCCACTCACTGCAACCTCTGCCTCCTGGGTTCAAGCAATTCTTCTGCCTCAGCCTCCCAAGTAGACTACAGGCATGTGCCACCATGGCCGGCTAATTTTTGTCTTTGTTTTCTTTTTTAGTAGAGATGGGGTTTCACCATATTGGCCAGTCTGGTCTCGAACTCCTGACCTCAACTGATCTGCCTGCCTCGGGCTCCCAAAGTGTTGGGATTACAGGCATGAGCCACTGCACCCAGACTTTGGCTTTTTATATGTTAGGGATTGACCAATAGCTTCAGGATGTGGGCTGGTCATCAGAAAGACCAAGGCAGGATTAGAGGGCTGGGACTTTCAGCCCCTAACCTCCCACCCCTGGGGAGTGGAGGGGACTGAGGATTAAGTTGATGGCAAGTGGCTAATGGTTTAATCAATCATGCCTATGTAATGAGGCCACCTTACAAACCCAAAAGGAGTGGATTCGGAGAGCTTCCAGAGAGCTGAACACATGGAGGTTCCTGGAGGGTCGTGCCCAGGGAGGGGATGGAAGCTCTGTGCCCCTTCCCCCATACCTCACGCTAGGCATCTCTTCATCTATATCCTTTGGAATATCCTTGTAATCAAACAGTAAATGTGTTTCCCTGAGGTTTGTGAGCCATTTTATTCTAGCAAATTAATCAAACCCAAAGAGGGGGTCGTAGGAACCCTAAATTAAATCTGTCAGTCAGAAGTTCCAGAGGCTGGGACTTGTGACTGGTGTCTGAAAGGGGGGCAGTTTTGGGGGCTGAGCTCTCAATCGATGGGGTGACACTATCTCATGGTAGATAGTGTCAGAATCGAATTGGTGGATACCCAGCTGGTGTCTGTTGCAGAACTGATTCCTTGCTTGCTGATAGGAAGAAATCTCATATTTTGAGGCCACAGAAGTCTTCTGGGTAGATTGTTGTGGTTTTGGTGTGAAGCAGAGGAAGAACACAGGTTGAGTTTTTTCCAAATGGGTTCACATTGGGGGTCCTCAACCTCAAATCCATCAACTCCATCGCTGAATTTTTATTTATGTATTTATTTTTATTTTTGAGGTAGAGTCTCACTCTCTCTCCCAGCCTGGAGTGCAGTGGTACCATCTCAGCTCATTGCAGCCTTCATCTCCGATGCTCAAGTGATCCTTCTACCTCAGCCTGCCAAATAAGCTGAAACCAGAGGCACACACTAGCACTGTAGCATAATTAAAAATACTTTTCAGTAGATAAGAAGACTCACTATGTTATCTGGGCTGGTCTTGAACTCCTGAGTTCAAGTGATCCTCCCACCTCTGCCTCCAAAGTTCTATGATTACAGGCATGAGCTGTCTCACCTATCACTGATTTTCTTTTTCTTTTTTTCTTTTTCTTTCTTTCTTTCTTTCTTTCTTTCTTTCTTTCTTTCTTTCTTTCTTTTTCTTTCTTTTTTTTTTTTTTTTTTTTTGACAGAGTCTCACTCTGCCTTGCCCAGGCTGAACTGCAGTGGTGCAATCTCGGCTCACTGCAGCCTCCGCCTCCCGGGTTCAAGTGATTCTCCTGTCTCAGCCTCCTGAATAGTTGGGATTAGAGGTGCCCACCACCACACCTGACCAATTTTTGTATTTTTAGTAGAGACAGGGTTTCACCATATTGGCCAGGCTGGTCACGAACTCCTGATCTCAGGCGATCCACCTGCCTTGGCCTCCAAAAGTGCAGTGGCAGGATCAGGGCATACTGCAGCCTTGACCTCCGGGGCTGAAGGGATCCTCCCTCCTCAGCCTCCCAAGTAGCTGGATTATAGGCATATGGCACCATGCCAGGCTAATATTTGTAATTTTTGCACAGATGGGGTTTTGCCATGTTGCCCAGTCTGGTCTTGAACTCCTGAGCTCCAACAATCTTCCCAGCTGAGCCTCCCAAAGTGCTGGGATTACAGGGAAGAGCCACTGCACCCGGCCTATCACTGCATTTTTAAAGGGAAGGAGGACTATAGTGAGACTCACTAAGGCTTACAGAAAAGGTAGAACCCTAGATAGATTTAAACACAGAGATTATAATATCCTTGAGATGATAATATCCAAATTTAGCTTTCATAGATAGGGAAATTTGAAGTACTTCAGACTACAAGGTGGCATTTTGTGCAACTAGTTAAAACTATGTTTGAAAGAGAGCAATTGCATTTTCATTACTGAATAATATTAAGCAACAATGAAAATAAATAGAAATAACCAAGAAATTGTTATATTTAAATTCTCCCTCCTTTTTTGGAAAGAGAAGTATTGATATTTTTAGATTCTAATCAAAACTTCTCCTTTAAAAAAATTGATGATTCTATGGAGATAGGGAGGGAATAACCTGTGTTTATTGAACACCTAATATTCCACTTACCCAAATGTCATTTATTCTATATTCTAGTTTTTTTGTTGAGACAGGGTCTTTCTTGCTCTGTTACCCATCCTAGAGTGCAGTGGGGTTGTCACAGCTCACAGATGTATACCACCATGCCTGGCTTATTATTTTATTTTATTTATTTTATTTTATTTTATTTTATTTTGTTTATTTTATTTTATTTTTATTTTATTTATTTTATTTTATTATTTTATTTTACTTTTGCAGAGACTATGTCTCCCTATATTTCCCAGGCTTGACTTGAACTTCTGGGCTCAAGTGATCCTCCTGCCTTGGCATCCCAAAATGCTGGGATTATAGGCATAAGCCACTGTACTCAGGCAATATTAAAGTCTTGATATGAGAAGTGTCTCAGTGTACTGGAAAGCTTTGTCTAAATTTTGAAAAAATATTAAAAAACACATTGGTTTTATTTGGCCAATACTGATTTCTTTGCTCCATCATTATTTATTGGCATTATTAGCCTGTTGACTTTCAATTTCTTTACATCCCTTTCACTCCATTTCTTTTATTTTGTCCCCCAAATAGAAATTCTTTTTTTTTTTAGATGGATTCTCGCTCTTGGCTCTTGTGACCCAGGCTGGAGTGCAGTGGTGCAGTCTCATCACTGTAATCTTCATCTTCCAGGTTCAGGCAATTCTCCTGCCTCAGCCTCCACAGTAGCCTAGATTACAGGCATGCGCCACTACACCCCGCTAATTTTTTGTATTCTTT
The DNA here is from genome assembly GCF_000001405.40 of Homo sapiens. NCBI lineage: Eukaryota > Metazoa > Chordata > Mammalia > Primates > Hominidae > Homo > Homo sapiens. The sequence continues at coordinate 65,508,671 of NC_000009.12, forward strand.
CTTTTTTTTTCTTTGAGATGCAGTTTCGCTCTTGTTGCCCAGGCTGGAGTACAATGGCATGAACTCTGCTCACTGCAACTTCTGCCTCCCAGGTTCAAGCGATTCTCCTGCTTCAGCCTCCCAAGTAGCTGGGATTAGAGAGTGATCCACCACACCCGACTAATTTTTGTATTTTTAGTAGAGACAGGGATTTGCCATGTTGGACAGGCTGGTCTGGAACACCTGATCTCAAGTCATCTGCCTGTCTTGGCCTCCCAAAGTGCTGGGATTACAGGCATGAGCCACTGTGCCGGCATTTTTGTATTTTTATATTTATTTATATTTTGATAGAGAGTCTCACTCTGTTGCCCAGGCTGGAGTGCAGTGACACAGTCTTGGCTCACTGCAACCTCTGCCTCCCAGGCTGAAGTGATTGTCCTGCCTCTGCCTCCCGAGTAGCTGGTATTACAGGCACCTGCCACCAGGCCTGGCTACCTTTTGTATTTTAGTTAGAGACAGGGTTTCACCATGTTGGCCAGGCTGGTCTTGAACTCCTGACCTCAGGTGATCTGCCCACCTTGGCCTCCCAAAGTGGCCTTGCTTGAGGCCAGGAGTTTGAGTCCAGCCTGGCCAACATGGTGAAACCTGCTGTCTACCAAAAATACCAAAAAAAATTAGCCGGGTATGGTGGTGTGTGCCTGTATTCCAAGCTACTTTGATGGCTGAGTCACAAAAATCACTTGAACCCAGGAGGCAGAGGTTGCAGTGAGCTGTGATCACCTCACTGCTCTGTAGCCTGGGTAACAGATTGAGACTTGTCTCAAAAAAAAAAAAAAAATTCTTGGCAGGACGTGGTGGCTCACACCTGTAATCCCAGCACTTTGGGAGGCCAAGGTGGGTTGATTCCCCTGAGGTCAGGAGTTTGAGACCAGCCTGACTAACATGGAGAAACTCCATCTCTCCTAAAAATACAAAATTAGCTGGGCGTGGTGGTGTCTGCCTTTAATCCCAGCTACTCGGGAGTATGAGGCAGGAGAATCACATGAACCCAGGAGGCAGAGGTTGCAGTGAGCCGAGATCACACCACTGCACTCCAGCCTGGGCAACAAGAGCGAAACTCCATCTCAAAAAAATAAAAAAAATCTTTACTTTGGATGAATACTTAGAAATGGAATTTCCAGGTCGGCCTTTAGATATTATTAATGGATTTAATATGAAAAACCTTTACTTGAGGATGTATAAAGCTTTAAAAGACAGGGTCCCTACTCTTAAGCTATAAATAAAGCAGCATTTGTAAGGTAATATTCAGAAAACATCAGATAATATCCTATAAAGTCCTCCTGTTCATGCTGATGACATTAGGTGGCCAGTTAAGGATGACACTTCATTCTTTCCCCTGCAACCATGGTCCTGACATGTCTAAATGATACTGGCCCTATGAGAACACTGTGGATGTGAAATCATTTCCTCAAGTTATCGTTTTGGCCTGCTGGTTTTAATCTAATAATAGGATATCCAAAGTGAATCTAATGGAGTGACATGATTGTGCATCTGTTGGGGTGAATCAGAGACAGCTAGAGCAAGGGCAGACACGTGCTAAACTCATCTGTCTTAAGAGCTGAAGCAAGAAGCAATGTTGCTAGCAGAGCTACTGCATATCTGTTCACGTGGCTCCAATGGCTCTGATCTGTTTTTTTCCTAGTATGAACCTAATACACAAGACAAGTTAAAAAATCAGAGTTGGCCAGGCATGGTGGCTCATGTCTGTAATCCTAGTACTTTGGGAGCCAATGTGGGTGGATCACTTGAGGCCATGATTTCGAGACCAGCCTCGGCAACACAGTGAAACCCCATCTCTACTAAAAATACAAAAATTAGGTGGGTGTGGTGGCAGGCACCTGTAATCCCAGCTATGGGAGGCTGAGGTTGCAGTGAGCCAAAATCAGGCCACTGCACTTCAGCCTGGTTGACAGAGCAAGGCTGTCTCAAGAAAAAAAAAAAGGGAAAGGAAAGGAAAGAAAATCACAGCTTGTTAGCCACTTGCAGCTAAACACATATGCACAAAAATTATTCAGTAAAAGCAAAACAGTTTTGGTGTATCTTGAGATTTTGTTTTATATCCAAAGGAAGACTATATCTTTCATCTTTGAACTAGTCTTTGGAAAATGCCTTCTATATAACAAATGTTATAGTTTTCTTCTAATTGGGTCTTGAGGTCTCTCAGGAGAATGGCTATAAACTCTACCTCACTCTAATGGGGCTCTAGGGGAGGGGCCTGTGGGTCTTTAGAGTAGTCTTTCACCAGAAATTTCTTTTTTCTGGACCACAGCCTAATGCTCAAGTATCTGACCCATGACCAGGTGTCTCACAGGAAACTTGTTTATACTAGCAGATGCCCTTGTAACTTTTGTCTGACCTGTGTGCAGTTTATTCCTACCATGATACCCACTCTTTTTTTTTTTGAGACGCAGTCTTGACTGTTACCAGGCTGGAGTGCAGTGGCACGACCTTGGCTCACTGCAATCTCCACCATTTGTGTTCAAGCAATTCCCCTGCCTCAGCCTCCCAAGCAGCTGGGACTACAGGCGTGCACCACCATGCCCAGCTAATTTTTGTATTTTTAATAGAGTCAGAGTTTCACCATGTAGTCCAGGATGGTTTTGATCCCTTGACCTCATGATCTGTCCTACTCAGCCTCCCAAAGTTCTGGGATTACAGGCATGAGCCACCACACCTGGCCTTTTTTTTTTTTTTTTTTTTTGAGACAGGATCTTGCTCTGGTGCCTAGGCTGGAGTGCAGTGGCAGGGTCAGAGCTCACCACAGCCTTAACCTCCTAGGCTCAAGCAATCCTCCCACCTCAGCCTCCCAAGTAGCTGGGACTAGAGGCATGTCCCACTACATCTGGCTACTTTGTATATGACATATGTTTTTGTAGAGGTAGGGTTTTGCCATGTAGCCCAGGTTGATCTTGAACTCCTGAGCTGAAGCAATTCACCTGCCTTGGCCTCCCAAAGTGCTTTGATTACAGGTGTGGGTTACCACACCCAGCCAATGTACATTTAATTATCAAAGTACTATCTATACTATTTTATGGAAGTACTAATTATCAAAGTGCAATAGAGGTTTTGTTGTTGTTGTTGTTGTTGTTTTTCTTTTGAGACAGAGTTTCACTCTTATTGCCCAGGCTGGAGTGCAGTGGTGCAATCTCGGCTCACTGCAACCTCCACCTCCCAGGTTCAAGCGATTCTCCTGCCTCAGCCTCCCAAGTAGCTGGGATTACAGACATGTGCCACCACACCCAGCTAATTTTATATTTTTAGTAGAGACTAAAATGGTCTCTCCATGTTGGTCAGTCTGGTCTTGAACTCCTGACCTCAGGCGATCCATCCACCTTGGCCTCCCAAAGTGCTGGGTTTGCAGGTGTGAGCCACTGTGCCCGGCCAATAGAGGTTTTCAAACTTTTTGTAGATATTTTTGAAAGATACAGTCTTCCTTTAAGAAAAGAGACAAGGCTGGGTGTGGTGGCTCATCCCTGTAATCCCAGCACTTTAGGAGGCCAAACAGGTGGATTGCTTGAGCTCAGGAGTTTGAGAGTAGCCTGCCCAAATGGCAAAACCTCGTTTCTACTAAAAATACAAAAAAAATTAGCTGGGTATGGTGGTGCATGCCTATAGTAAAAGCTAATACAGAGGCTGAGGTGGGAGGAACACCTGAGCCTGGGAGGTTGAGGCTGCAGTGAGCTGTGATTTTGCCACTGCACTCCAGCCTGGGCAACAGAACGAGACCCTGTCTCAAAGTGAAAACAAAAACAAAAACAAAAAAATGAAACAAGAGAAAAAAAACAAGAAAGAAAATGGTAAGGGGGAAGTGCCTATTTATTAAGCTTTTGTTGTAAATAGTAACTTGCATATCAGATGTTTACTGTAATATTCTTGAAGCCTTGCCAGGCGTAGGCTGTGTGCTTTTCAACTCTATTTCATTTATTTGGGAAATCATATACCAATGTATTTATTCATTCCCAGCTCTAACCATGGAATACTGGGAATGTCCCTTTCTATGAAGGAGGTTTGCCGGCCACAACAGGAAGATTCATGAACATGGAGGTACTTTGTTGAAGTTACACTAATTTTTTTACTCTTCCCCACTCTCAGCCTAGCTGGTCTGCTCACTGTATTCTCTCCATCCTTCAGCACCCTTCCATCTCTTCCTTCATCTTAAAAATCTTTCCTTTAATTTCAACAGTGCTGCCTGGGTTTGTCATTTCAGGGGTTGGGCATGTTCCAGGATCTGTCTATAGACTTCTCTCAGGAGGAATGGGAGTGCCTGGACGCTGCTCAGAAGGACTGATACAGAGATGTAATGATGGAGAACTATAGCAGCCTGGTCTCACTAGGTAAGGATGTCTATCCCCAAATAACTCATGAATTTTGGGTGTAGCTTTCACTTGTCTGGGTGACTTTTCACCTGCTGATTAGGGAATTGTTTTGTGTTTTGTAGATTAATAGATGGGCAGCTCTTTGGGGTCCCTCCATCTTCTCCATGCTTCAGACCTTTACACCTTCCTCTAGTCCTTCGTGACTACTAAGGGACTAACTTTGAATTCAGGAACAGCACGAGTATGTCTTACTTTTCTTTCTCTCTTTTTCTTTCTTTCTTTCTTTCTTTCTTTCTTCCTTCCTTCCTTCCTTCCTTCCTTCCTTTCTTTCTTTCTTTCTTTCTTTCTTTCTTTCTTTCTTTCTTTCTTTCTTTCTTTCTTTTTCTTTCTTTCTTTTTTGAGATGAAGTCTCACTCTATCACCCAGGCTGGAGTGCAATGGCGCAATCTCGGTTCACTCCAACCTTCATCTCAGGTTCAAGCGATTCTCATGTTTCAGCCTCCTGAGTAGCTGGGATTACAGGCACCTGCCACCACACCTGGCCAATTTTTTGTGTTTTTAGTAGAGACGGGGTTTCACCATGTTGGTCAGGCTGGTCTTGAACTCCTGACCTCAAGCAATCCACCTGTTTTGGCCTCCCAAAGTGCTGGGATTACAGGAGTGAGCCACTATGCCTGCCTGTCCATCTTACTTCTTTTCTTATAAACAGATCTCTCTATCCCAAAGCCTGATGTGATTTCCTTACTGGAGCAAGGGAAAGAGCCCTGGATGGTTTCAAGGGACGTACCGGGAGGATGGTGCCCAGGTGAGTAAGGACTGAGCAGATGGGGAAGGCACTGCTGTTTAGAACCCAGCCCATCAGGGAGGCAGCGCCGTAAAGGTATTGGTTGGGGAATCTCTTCTGCAAGGTCCCACGTAAGAGTTGTGGCCTAAGACACATGGAGAAAAGTCAAGATACCACCCCCCCCCCCCACAAACACACTCTTTTTTAAATTTTTTTTTTAATTTGAGAGAGAGTCTTGCTCAGTCACCCAGGCTGGAGAACAGTGATGCGATTTTGGCTCACTGCAACCTCCGCACCCAGGTTGAAGCGATTCTCCTGCCTCAGCCTCTAAAGGAACTGGCATTATAGGCACCTGCCACCATGCCCAGCTAATTTTTGTATTTTTAGTAGAGACGGCATTTCACCATGTTGGCTAGGCTGGCCTCGAACTCCTGACCTCAGGTGATCCACCTGCCTTGGCCTCCGAAAGTGCTGGTATTACAGGTGTGAGCCACTGTGTCTGGCCGAGAACCCCCTTTTACCTCCACCTCTTCAGTCTGTGCTACCCTCTTGTCATAATTTCTTTCCATTTCAAAGAATAACATTCCCTTCTTCAGAAGCCATCCTGTTTCCTCTATCTTGGAGCTACTTCTTTCACTTTAAAATTTAAACCCGTGTTGTTGCTTTAAAAACAAATCTTTTAAAATATATTTATTTTTCATACTGATCCTTGACTTTTTTTTGCCTTGTCTTTTCTTGGCTAGTTTTCCTTTAATGCAGCCATTTCATGCATCAATAGATATTCATTCACTATTTTTTTTTTGGATACAGAGTCTCACTCTGTAGCCCGGGCTGGAGTGCAGTGCGCGATCTCGTCTCACTGCAAGCCAATAAGAAGAGCTTGGGGATGACCTCCCTACAAGCACAGCAAAACCTTTCCTGCGCATTTCTGCGCTGGAACGCCTACCCGCCTCGCCAAACCAAAACTTTACTACCACCCTTAGTGCCGTTTCCTGCGCTTTCTTGGAGAGTTGTACCAGGTGCTGGAGACCCTCCCACCTGGTCCATGCCCGCCTCCCGGTGAGCACCGAGACCCAACCTTGTGCACCGCCAGTCTTGTTATCAACAAACAGGCTAGTAAATTATAAAAAAATAAAATAAAGGAAATGTAGCTGGTCGTGGTGTCATGCACCTGTAATCCCAGCTACTCCGGAGGCTGATGCAGGAGAATCGCTTGAACCCAGGAGGTGAAGGTTGCAGTGAGCCGAGATCGCACCACTGCACTCCAGCCTGGATGGCAAGAGCAAAACTCCTTCTCGAAATAATAAATAAAATAAAGGAAATGGGGCCGGGCATGGTGGCTCACGCCTGTAATTCCAGCACTTTTGGTGGCTGAGGCGGACGGATCACTTGAGGTCAGAGGTTCGAGACCAGTCTGGCCAACATGGTGAAACCCTGTCTCTACTAAAAATAAACAATTAACCAGGCATGGTGGCTGGCGCCTGTAATCCCAGCTATTTGTGAGGCGGTGGCACAAGAATCGCTTGAATCCCGGAGGCAGAGGTTGCAGTGAGCCGAGCTCGCGCCGCTGCGCTCCAGCCTGGGCGACAGAGCGAGACTCCATCTTAAAATAAAATAGGCCGGCTGAGGGTGCTCATGCCTGTAATCACAGCACTTTGGACGCTGAGGTGGGTGGATTGCCTGAGCTCAGGATTTCAAGGACATCCTGGCCTACATGGTGAAACCCTATCTCTACTAAAAATGCAAAAATTAGCCGGGCATGGTGGCGCATGCCTGTAATCCTAGCTACTTGGGAGGCTGAGGCATGAGAACCGTTTCAACACAGGAGGCGGAAGTTGCAGTGAGCCGCGACCGCCACATTGCACTCCAGCTTGGGCAAGAGGATTGAAACTCTGTCTCAAAAAAAAAAAAAAAAAAAAAAAAAAAAAAAAAAAAAAACAAATAAATAAATATAAAAGAAATAGACAAAGCAAACCTTAATGTATGAACTCAAACAAATGCTTTCACTGCCAGGCTCCATCTTTGCAAAACTGAACCTAGGACAATGTGCACGTTTCTAACTAGCAATTCTGGAGGACAGATCAGGGAGGCAACGTGAGCTTGCTTTTCTGCAGTTTAATTGACTGGTCAGTAAAGTCAGTGTTTGCAGGCATTTTCAATGTTCTGTAGTGGGCTTCAGTTCCTATGGCAGTGTGGCAGGCCAGGTTTCCAATAGCAACCAGAACAGTTTCTACTAACCCTTTACTATAATTTTGATGAATGCATAAGTTAAAGTTAAAGAAATGGAGAAACTTGTGCCTGAGTATCAGGGATGGAATGTGAAAACAAACCCATTGAGACCCCACCTGGGTTTTCTCAGACCCTAAAGTCTGATCGAATAATGATAGCATTGGTACACATTCACCTCGGCCTGTCTTAGGATTCAGAAACTTTCCAAGACTCTAGAGAAATCTTTCCAGATGCTAGACCCGAGTTAAAGATTAGATGTTGATTGAATGAAACACTCCTGCTTGTAGGTGCAATCCCACGTGGAGCTTAAGATGTATATAAGCACTAGAAAAAAAAAAAAAAAACTTGTAACTTTGAATTGATCTGGTGAATTACCTGGTGCTTCTCCCTGTAAGTGGCTGCGGAAATAAACTTCCTTCTTGCCCAGTCTGTCTGTGTCTTGTTATTGAACAATTGCAATGGACCTGCCCAGCAAAGTCCTCTTTTGTGTGGTTATCTGGGACTCCTTTTGGAGGGAACATTTAAAATTTTCCATTTCAAAGCATTCTGTTGGCACTCTTACACTGTTTTTCTCTGCCTACCCTGGGACCTGAGTTCTCCTGGACGCGAATCTCCAGCCACAGAGCCTAGAAGCCCATTCCTCCACATTCTGTGACTGTTCCCCAAACACAGGGAGAATTTTCAGAAAATAAGCCTAAAAATGTTGCCATTCTTTGCAATAAAACCCCACATTACAAACTGCTGAAAACAGGATTTTAGCCTGAATAGGTTTTTCCTCTATTTGAAACCCTTTACAATTTTGGAGGGAAGTTTCCAAATCAATCAGTAAGTACCCCCCACCCCAGGTTTATCCTTATGTAAAGTGACCCCTTTGCACATGCAAGATTGAATAAACCTTGAAAATATTATGCTAAGTGAAAGAAGCCAGTCACAAAGGACCACATGTTATGTAATTCCATTTAAATAAAATGTCCAAAATAGACCAATACATAGAAGCAGAAAGTAGATTTGTGGTGGCCCAGGGTTAGGGGAGTTGGGGGGAAATGGAGGGATATGGTATTTACTTCAGGGTAATGAAAATGATCTAAAATTTATTGTGGTGATGTTTGCATAACAGTGCAAATATACTGAAAACCACTGAATTTTACACTTTAAATCAGTGGCTTCTGTGGTATGTTATCAATATTTCTCAATAAAACTTCAAAAAAAAAGTGCCTATGTGTCTTTTTGTTTATTATTCCTCCAGAGTCCAGTCCATAGTTTTTACATTTGATGAAGAAATTAAGATTTTGTTTCTTCTTCTTCTATTTTTTTTTTTTTTTTGAGACAGAATCTCCCTCTGTTGCCCAGAATGGAGTGCATTGGCACAATCATGGCTCAGTGCAACCTCCAGGATAATTTTTGTATTTTTAGTAGAGACAGCGTTTCACCATGGTGGCTAGACTGGTCTCAAACTTCTGATCTCAAGTGAGTCCCACACCTTGGTTTCCAAAATTGCTGGGATTACAGGCATGAGCCACCGCACCCAGCCCAAGATTTAGTTTCTGTTGTTTTGATGCCCTAGGGCCATCTTATTCTACCTTAATTTCCGACGCATCATCTCAGTGGAAATTTTACCTTAGGCCCCAAAGTATTTTCCTCTTTTTAAGATTTTATCAGCTGAGTACAGTGGCTCACACCTGTAATCTCAACACTTTGGGAGGCCAAGGTTGGAGGATCAGTTAAGCCCAGGAGTTCAAGACCAGTCTCTGCAACATAGTGAGACACACATTATCTACAAAAAAAATTTTAATTAGGTGGGCATATTGGTGCATGCCTGTGGTCTCAGCTTACTACATAGGCTGAGGGAGGATCACTTGAGCCCAGGAGGTTGAGGCTACAGTGGCCATGATTATACCACTGCACTCCAGCCTGGGTGACAGAGCGATAGTCTGTCTTAAAAAAAAAACTGATTGGAATTTTTTTTTTTTAGAAAACAAAGTATAGACTTAGTGAGTTGATACAAATGAATGAATTTGATAATCTACAGAAACAAAAACAAATAAATAAATAAAAACCCAAAGCCATTCTTCTTATGTGAATCTCTGGTGTCTCTGAATTATAAGAATTGTGAATTATGATTAATAACAAATATGCATGACAAGGACTCAATAAGGGATAGGCATTAATAAACTGCAATGCACATTTACTGGAGTAAGGCCTTTAAAGATGTACAAGAGAAAGAAAGAAAAGGCATTGAAAAATTGCATTGCCTACCAAAATGCTAAAGTTTACCTAAGTCCATTAATCAGCACACACAGGCAATGGGTGTGTAAAATGGTCAACACAGTCTCCTATGAATGTATCCTTTTATTAATAGGTCTGTGGGGGTAAGAGATGAGGTTCTATAGATCCTGGAATCAGGGATGGGGAATCTGTGAGTTCCCTGGGGTGAGAGATGACGATCTGTAGATTAGTGATGGGTGGTCTTTGGGATAGTGATGAAGTCCATGGAATCAATGATTGTGGGTATGTAGGGTCAGTGATGAGGGAATCTGGTGTCAGTGATGGGATGTGTGTTTAATCAATCTGTGAAAGCCAGATTTGTGGAGTCATCTCTCAGGCTGACACATCCTGATCTGTGTGTCAGTCGTGGAAATTCTATGGGGTCAGAGTGTGACTGTCAGGTCCCTGACACTGTGTGTTCTGGGTCTGGCCAAGTGCACAGATTCCCTTGCCTTGTCCTGGCTGGGGAGGCCCTTCTCAAGGACTCCTCACATAAAAGGTGGGTTGGCGGTGGGTTTTGTTTTTGTTTTCGTTTTGCGGTGGAGGTGGGGGTGGGTTAGCTTTTTCTTTAGGGTTTAGTTTTGCCTCTTAGAGACCACAGACACATGCAGCTTTTAGGAAGAAATTTCTGTCTGGGTGGTCGCTAGGTCCTTTGGGCCAAGCCATCTAATGGGAGTAAAACTGACCATTCCCTCAGCGAGGTTCAGAACTAGATGGTCATTTTAAGGTGTCCTCAAGGTGGCGTGCAAGTGGGTTGTGGCTTCGAGTGGCAGGTGTGCGGGAAGAAACAACTAAGAAGACCCAGGAGCGCTCCAAGGCTGGATCTGTCACAGCTGGAAGAACAGCCTCCCTAACCCATCAGGCGCCAATGGGAGGTACCACAGCTGTGAGAGGCTGGTGGAGTTGGAACCTCCAGACCTAGAGATTCTGGGCACAGAAGCCTATTACCGCCAGACGCTGAGGCGTTGCCATGGGATCCAAGGGCGTTTCGGGTCAGCTCAGAGCCTTTCTCAGATAATTGTTTCGGTAACTGGGGAGCTGCTGTCCAGCGCACGCACTTATGAAGGCTTAATGTGCCGTCTCCCGCAGAGTCTTCTTTGGTCTGAGAGCCACTTGTTTCTTACATCCTTGTGCTAATCTCACCATCTGCTCCTACATATCCCAGGCATTTGCCACATGCTGGTCCTCTCTTTCCTGACAGGCGGGCCATCTCTCCAGCTTCTGTGAGGACAGTTCAAATTATGGAGGAGGGGGCAGGTGCAGGGCAGCAGTGCTGAGGGGAGTACCATGCAGTTGGGGGAGCAGGGACTCATTTTTCTTTGTAGCTCAGATTCCTAAGCCTGTGACTTTGAGTATCGGTGTCTTCCTTGCAATGTTTCAATCTGAGGTTCTTGGGGAGAGTGCAGAATTGGAGCCCGATGGAAGACCGGTGGAGAGAGGGGTGGGTGGAGGGAACATGGAGAATGTGTCAGGTGGTGTCTATTCCTGGCACCTTACTTTGCCTGCTGGAGTTTCCCAGTCTGTTCCAGATGCATTCTCTCGACCCTGAAGGGACCTGAGGGGGGATGTTGGTCTCCAGTGTGTGCTCCCCTGGACTCAATTGGAATTGGTCCCACAAAGTGTTTTTATTTATTTATTTATTTATTTATTTATTTATTCATTTATTTATTTATTTATTTGGAAGGAGTCTTGCTCTGTCACCCAGGCTGGAGTGCAGTGGGGCAATCTCAGCTCACTGCAACCTCTGATTCCCAGGTTCAAGTGATTCTCCAGTTTCAGCCTCCCTAGTAGCTGGGACTACAGGTTTCCGCCACCACACCTTGCTAAATTTTTTATTTTTGGTAGAGGCAGGGTTTCACAATATTGGTCAGGCTGGTCTCGAGCTCCTGACCAGGTGATCGACCCACCTTGGCCTCTCAAAGTGCTGGGATTACAGGTGGGAGCCATCACACCCCGCCAATCCTACAAATTTAGGCATTATGGTGCATTGCTACTTTTGAATCACTTATTTTTTACTTGTGTTTTCCCCCCTCCTTTTATTGATTGATTGACACAGAGTCTCGCTGTGTCACCCAGGCTGAACCACAGTGTCACAATCTTGGTTCATTGCAACCTCTGCCTCCCGGGTTCAAGCGATTCTCCCGCCTCAACCTTCCAAGTAGCTGGGATTACAGGCGCATGCCATCATGCCTGGCTAATTTTTGTATTTTCAGTAGAGACAGGGTTTCACCATGTTGGCTAAACTGGTCTCGAACTTCTGACCCCAAGTAATCCCCCTGCTTTGGCCTCCCAAAATGCTGACATAGGCATGAGCCTCCTTGCCCGGACTTCCCTCCTTTTCCTTCAGGGATTTTAAATGTTTTCTTTCCTCCATCTATTTAATTATATGTGATTGCCTTGAGGATTTCAGCTTGAATTAAAATTACATATATTTACCTGTCTTTATTAATATTTAAACATATTAAAATAATACATGTTCATAATGAAAATGAAACATTACAAATAAATACACAGGAAAGGCCGTATTCCCCCTCCAGTTCCACTCTTGAAATAACCAGTTAACAAGATGATGAGCATCTTTCCATGATGTTCTCCAAGACTCAAGTAAGTATTGGCCAGCACAAAACAGAATATACAGACCAGGCGTGGTGGCTCATGCCTGTAATCCCAGCACTTTGGGAGACTGAAGCGGGTGGATCTTTTGAGGTTAGGAGTTCGAGACTAACCTGGTCAACATGGTGAAACCCCATCGCTACAAAAAAATACAAAAATTATTTGGGCACGGTGGTGAGGGCCTTAATCCCAGCTACTTGGGAGGAGGAGGAATGAGAATCTCTTGAACCCAGGAGGAGAAGTTTGCAGTGAGCCAATATCACATTACTGCCCTCCAACCTGGATGACAGACTGAGATTCCATCTCAATAAATAAGTAAATACATAAAATAAAGAGAAAAAAAGAAAGATGAAGGAAAGAAAAAGCAAGAAAGAAGAAAGAAAGAAAGAGAAAGAAAGGAAGAAAGAAAGAAAAAGAGAGAAGTCGTGTGCTCAGGTTGCTAAGATGGATGGTAAGAACAAATCCTCTAGCAGTGAAAATGTAAGAAGGGAAAGAAATTTCGCTTAGTCTTGTTTGTTGCACCCCAAGCTCTAAAAAGTACAGTCACATGTGTGATAAATGCTTAGTTAAGATGAAAAAGTCATTAAATTTGTGAGTGGAAATCAAACAGAAATATGTTCTGATTGAAAGCAATTGGGTCAATGCTACCCAAGTTTCAGGCATCCACTGCGGGTCTTAAAACACATCTCCTGCAGATAAGGGAGGGCTATTATATAACGTTTCTTTCTTTTTTCTTTAATTATAAAGCATTCTCCTTTTTAAATATAACAATTGGCCACATATATCACTTTAGGTATAAAGATATTAGGATACCTTTATAGTAGATAAAATGCTAACTCATTCTTTGTAAGAGTTAAAGTATCTTTCATTATATGAGCATTTAAGATATTAAAGTACTTTTGCCACCAAAATAGTGCTTCTGTAAATATTCTTTTACTTATAACTTTGTTAGTTTTTACTTCTGCTGAAACAAATTGCATGAGGAAACAAGTGTATGTGTGTAAAGTGTAATATATGTATATATATTTAATATGGGTATATACAACTTACTATATACACATACATACAATAACATATACAATTTTTGTTTTGTTTTTTGAGATGGAGTTTTGCTCTCTCATCCAGGCTGGAGTGCGGTGACATGATCTCGGCTCACTGCAACTTGCACTGCTTGGTTCTCCTGCCTCAGCCTCCTGAGTAGCTGGGAATACAGGCATCTGCCACCATGTCCAGCTAACTTTGTTTTTTTAGTGGAGATGGGTTTTTACCATGTTGGTCAGGCTGCTCTCGAACTCCTGACCTCAAGTGATCCGCCCACCTTGGCCTCCCAAAATGCTGGAATTACAGGCGTGAGCCATCGTGCCCGGCCTAACATATACAATTTAATGTATATACAAATATAGGTTGGGTGCAGTGGCTCTCACTCCTGTCATCCTAGCACTTTGGGGAGCTGAGGTAGGGGATTGTTTGAACCCAGGAGTTTGAAATCAGCCTGGGCAACATGGTGAAACCCTATCTGTACAAAAAACACAAAAATTAGCTGGGTGTACTTGCAGGTGCCTGTGGTCCCAGCTACTCAGGAGACTGAGCTGGGAGGATAGCTGGAGCCTGGGAGGTTGAGGCTGCAGTGAGTTGCGATCATGCCACTGCACCCCAGTGTGGGTGACAGAGTGAGACCCTGTCTCAGACAAAAACAAAAACAAACCAAATATAATGTTTATGTGCTACACACTTGATTTCTTTCCAAAGGGTTATATAACACTGTACTTTCACCAGCAATATATGCGACTACTCATTTCCTACATACTATCACTTGTGTGCAGTCAAGGAAACTTAGTAGGCCTGAATTGCCCAAACCTGGCATACTCCAAAGAATGGTGTGACTCTATCCTAGTTCCCGGGAAATAACCTCTAAGTCCTTGGACTCTCCTGCCTATCTGGGAGTTAACAACGTGATTTATTATGGGGACCTTGGACCATGCAGTGTCAGCTTGACCTTGGGAAGGGTGGAGACAGAGAAACTAATGTCATCCAAATGGGTGCTCTTGTCCATGTGACCAACCTCCAGTAAAATGCTCAACACCAAGGCTCAGGTAAGCTTTTTGTTGGGGAGTATATTCTATACTGTTTGCCACATATCGCTGGGTGAATTAAGCACTGTCCACACGATGTCACTTGGAGAGGACAACTGGAAGCTTGTGATTTGTCTCTCCTGGACTCTGACCTGTGCACCTTTTTCTGCTGCTGATTTTAATCTGTATCTTTTTGTTGTAATAAACTATGAGTAAAACAGCTTCACTCGGTTTTGTGAGTCTTTCTAATTAATCACTAAACTTTTGGGACCTCAGAACACAATGTTGTTTCTTCTTCAATTGAATTTTCCATGTTATGTAAGAAACCTATGTGCATAAATGAAAAATCACAAACTAAGAAAGAGCTTTCCATGCAGTCTACTCCCCCACCCTGTTTCTCCAATCCTCCCAGGTCTGCTTCCTGAATAATCAAATGTCTAAATTTTCTAAACTATTTCTAATCTATATATCTGAGTGCTTATCTCTATATTATATAATAGGTAGATCCAGCTCCTTCTCAATATATCAGCTTGATATATTACCTGATGGCTTCCTGTTCTGATAGCTGATGACTTGGCTGACACTCACCCCTTACCCTAGTGCCTGGACCACTTTTCAAACATGGTGCTCTCACCATTTTCTTCCTCTTTTCTTTTCTTTTTTTTTTTTTTGAGACAGAATATTGCTCTGTCACCCAGGCTAGAGTGCAGTGGCATGATCTGGGCTCACTGCAACCTCCACCTCCCAGATTCAAGTGATTCTCCTGTCTCAGCCTCCGGAGTAGCTGGGATTACAGAGGCATGCCACCATGCCTGGCTAATTTTTGTATTTTTAGTAGAGACGGGGTTTCACCCTCTCAGCCAGGTTGGTCTCGAACGCCTGACCTCATGATCCACCCATCTCAGCCTCCTAAAGTGCTGGGACTGCACCCGGCCAATCTCACTATTTTCAATGGCTCTCTTGGTCACCTTTCACTTGGGAGAGCAGCTGAGGCAGGAGAATCACTTGAACCTGGGAGGTGGGGGTTGCAATGAGCTGAGATGGTGCCATAGCACTGCAGCCTGGGCAACAAGGGTGAAACTCTGTCTAAATAAATAAATAAATAAATAAAACAGAAAAGGAAAGGAAAGAAAAGAACCTCTCTCTCCATATACCTGTAAGGATCATTGTGTTAATTTTCTTCATGTCTTAACATGATTCTTGCCTTGTCAGAGATCATCCTATCTGAAATTGAAACTATTTACCACTTCCCTTTTTTTCCATAGCACTTAAAACATTTTTTTTTTTTTGAGATGGAGTCTTGCTCTGTCACCCAGGCTGGAGTGCATTGGTGTGATCTCGGCTCACTGCAACCTCCACCCCCCAGGTTCAAGTGATTCTCCTGCCTCAGCCTCCCAAGTAGCTGGGATTACAGGCATCTGCCACCATGCCTGGCTAACATTTTTTTTTTTTTTTTGTATTTTAGTAGACATGGGGTTTCACCATGTTGGCCAGGCTGGTCTTGAACTCCTTACCTGAGGTGATCCAAACCACCTCGGACTCCCAAAGTGTTGGGATTACAGGGGTGAGCCACCACACCCAGCCCTGGCTAATTTTTGTATGTTTAGTGGAGGCAGGTTTTCACCATATTGGCCAGGTTGATATCGAACCCCTGACCTCAAGTGATCTCCCTGCCTCGGCCTTCCAAAGTGTTGGTATTACAGGCATGAGCCACTGTGCCCGGACTGCTTTTTGACAAATCATCTCTGTTCTTACATTATGTCCACTAGAATGTAAACTTGATGAGAGCAGGAGATATTGTCAATTTTGTTCAATGCTATTTATCCCTAGAGCCTAGAACTGTACCATGCACATGGTAAGGAGACAAATATTTGTTGAATGAATATATTGAGCAGCTGTTCTCAGACTGTTTGGTTTCAGAAATTCTTTGCTCTCTGTTTCTTTACTCCCGACCTCAGGTGATCTGCCCACCTTGGCCTCTCAAAGTGCTAGGATTATAGGAGTGAGCCAAAACACCCACCACCCAACTAATTTTTGTATGGTAGTAGGCACCGAGTTTTGCCATGTTGGCCAGGCTGATCTTGAACCCCTGAACTCAAGTGATCCCCCACCTCAGCCTTCAAAAGTGCTGAGATTACAGGCGTGAGCCACTGCACCTGACTAAATAAACCAAAAACTTTAAATAAGTGCATTTGGAGGAAATACTTATAACAGATAAAATGGACAAACAGATAATTCTAATTTACTGTCTCTCTGGCTTAATAAAATATTAGTCAATACCCTAAGAAGAAAGGAACAAAATCTAAAAATTCACCATTCACAAACACAAATAGTTGGAAAACAAAGTCAAAACCTAAGAACTTGTTGACTTATCTCTCCTCTGAAATCAGCTCTTGAATGTGTTGAACCAGGATTGACCTCGGATTAGGAAATTTTTAAAATATTTTTTAAAGTTTCACTTTTTGGAATTTAAAATTAATCCAAATTATATAATATATAACATTTGGAATTTACCAGTCAATACTCTATCATTTTATTTTTCACTCTTCAAATAATTTCTTGTTCAAGAGTTTAAAATGCTTGTAAAATTAATAGATTCTGCAGGCTATGGTCTGTAGAGACTGTCTCTACAAAAAATAAAACTACATATACTTTAAAATATATATAAAATATATATTTATTTAAATGTATATGTTTCAAGTATATAAAATATTTTTTTTAAATTTCATTTTTTTGCCAGAACTTATGGTAAGCATATGTTTAGTCTGGCAGGAACTTGCAAAACTGCCTTCCACAGTGGCTGTCCCACTTTGCATTCTCAGCAGAAATAGAGATGAATTCCTGTTACTCCATATCTTCACCAGCATTTGGTATTGGTGTTTGCATTCAAGCCAGTCTAAGAGATGTGTAATGGTATCACATCGTTGTTTTAATTTGAATCCCCTAGTGACATATGGTGTTGAGCATCTTTTCAGAGGTCTAAGAAATGTGCTGGGCATGGTGGCACATGCCTGTGGTCCCAGCTACTCAGGAGGCTGAAGCGGGAGGGTTACTTGAGCCCTGGAGGTTGGGGCTGCATTGAGCCATGATTGCACCACTGCACTCCAGCCTGAGTGACAGAGCTAAACCCTGTCTCAAAAAGATAAATAAGGCCAGGCGTGGTGGCTCATGCCTGTAATCCAAGCACTTTGGAAGGACAAGGCAGGAGGATCATGAGGTCAGCAGATCAAGACCATCCTGGTTGACACAGTGAATCCCCGTCTCAACTAAAAATACAAAAAATTAGCCAAGCGTGGTGGCTGGTGCCTGTAATCCCAACTACTCAGGAGGCTGAGGCAGGAGAATCGCTTGAACCCGGGAGGCAGAGGTTGCCATGAGCCGAGATTGGGCCATTGCACTCCAGCCTGGGTGACAGAGTGAGACTCCATCTCAATAAATAAAAATAAATAAATAAATAAATAACTGACTTAATTTTTAGAACAGTTGTAGGTATACACAAAAATAGAGCAGAAGGCATATTGAGCTCTAATATCCACCTCACACCATAGTACACACACTTCCTCTATTATCATCTTGTTAGTGTGGTAATTTGTTATGCTTGATGAGCCAATATTGATATTATTAAGTTCATGGCTAATTATTAAGATTCACTCTCTGTGTTCTACCATTCATGGGCTTTGACAAATGCTTAAGGACATATATCCACCATTATAGGGTCACACAGAAAAGTTTCACTGCCCTAAAAATCTTCTGTGCTCCATCTATTCTTCCTTCCCTCTGCTCAAGCCCCTGGCAACCACTGAACTTTTTATAATACCATCTGCCTAGTTTTGCCTTTTCTAGTATTCCATATAATTGGAACTCTATACTATGTGGCCTTTTTGTATTGGCTTCTTTCACTTAGAAATACATGTTTAAGATGCCTCCATGTCTTTTCATGCCTTGGTAGTTCATCTCTTTTTATTCCTGAAGAATATTCCATTGTATGAATGTTTCAGAGTTAGTTTATCCATTTCTCTATTGCAGGATATATTGGTTACTTCCAATCTTTGTCAGTTGTGTATAAGCTGCTGTAACATTCATGTGCAGGATTTGAGTGGATATAAGTTTTCAAATATTTGGGTATATACCAAAGAATGCAATTGCCAGATCGTATTTAAACATACAAGGATGCAGATGCCATACACACAAATATGTATGTATATGTCATGCTTGTATACAATTTTAAATGCATATATGTGTTCTATGGATATGTAAGCATTTCTCTATTTTCACAGAAATGTCACTCTAAATCAGTACCTAGGGAGGGTCATCATTTTCTTTATCTACAAATCAAGACACAGTATGAGTGGCTGCACCCAATTTGGTAAGTCCTCTATTATTGAGGATGTTTTCCTGTTTCCTTTGTCATTGTTGTTGTTGTTTTGTTTTGAGACAGAGTTTCACTCTTTTGAGTCAAGTGGTGTGATTTCAGCTCACTGTAGCCTCCCGAGTAGCTGGGATTATAGGTGCCCACCACCACGCCCAGCCAATTTTTGTATTTTTAGTAGAGATGAGGTTTTACCATGTTGGCCAGGCTGGTCTTAGCTCCTGACCGCAGGTGATCCATCCGCCTCAGCCTCCCAAAATGCTGAGATTACAGGTGTGAGCCACCATGCTTGGCTGCTTTCATCATTTCAGACTGAGCTTGGAGAAGAACCTGAGGGAAAACATGACTTTAAAATTTTGATGAATGGAGAAATCTCTTTCCATTCACCTTCCTTTCCTCTATTTCATTCTTATTTTAAAATATGCAGACAAAGATATGGATACATCAGTTATTAAATAAACGTCTGTGTGATACCTATCCAGGTGAAGAAATAGAGCACTATCACCACTGAGAAGTCCTCCTTATGCCCCTAACCGATCCTAAAGTCTTCCTTCCCCTTATTAGTAACAGATATAACAGATATCCACATTACCTGTGGTTATCTGCCATCCTCTCCTTGGTTCTCTTTATAATTTTATTATGTATTTTATATATTTTTTTCGTTTTGGAGATGGAGCCTCGCTCTGTCACCCAGGCTGGAGTGTAGTGGCATGATCTTGACTCACTGCAACCTCCGCCTCCCAGATTCAAGCGATTCTCATGACTCAACCTCCCAAGTGGCTGGGATTACAGGCATGGGCCATGTGCCACCATGCCTGGATAATTTTTGTATTTGTAGTAGAGATGGGGTTTTGCATGTTGGTCAGGCTGGTTTAGAACTCCTGACCTCAATGCCTGGCCTTATTATGCATTTTTTATATTCCTAAAGTAAAGTCTGATTTTGCCTGGTTTTTCTCTTACATAATTGGAGTAAAAGTCTGTATCCTGGTGCATCTGGTGCCTTTTACTCAATACTAAGTATTTAAGATTCACACTTAGCATTGTTTCTGCATTCTATTGAAACAGTACACCAGCCAGGCATGATGGCTCACGCCTATAATCCCAGCACTTTGGGAGGCCGAGGCAGGCAGATCACTAGAGGTCAGGAGTTCCAGACCACCCTAGCCAACATGGTGAAACTCCATCTCTATTAAAACTACAAAAATTAGGGCACGTGGTGGCTAATGCCTGTAATCTCAGCACTTTGGGAGGCCAAGGCAGGTGGGTCATGAGGTCAGGAGATGGAGACAATCCTGGCGAACACGGTGAAACCACATCTCTACTAAAAACAGAAAAAATTAGCCAAGTGTGGTGGCACATGCCTGTAGTCTCAGCTACTCAGGAGGCTGAGGCTGGAAAATCACTTGAATCTGGGAGGCAGAGGTTGCAGTGAGCCAAGTTTGCACCACTGCACTCCAGCCTGGGTGACAGAATTAGACTCTGTTAAAAAAAAAAAAAATTTAGCCAGGTGTGGTGTTGTGTGCCCGTAATCCCAATTATTTGAGAGGCTAAGGCAGGAGAATCAGTTGAACCTGGGAGGTGATAGAGGTTGCAGTGAGCCAAGATCACGCCCTGTACTCCAACCTGGGCAATAGAGTGATAGTCTCAAAAAAAAAAAAAAGCCCAAGCGCAGTGCCTGCCACCTGTAATCCCAGCACTTTGGGAGTCCGAGATAGGTGGATCACCTCAGGACAGGAGTTTGAGACCAGCCTTACCAACAAGGTGAAACCCCATCTCTACTAGAAATACAACAATTTACCAGGAGTGGCGGCACATGGCTGTAATCCCACCTACTGGGGAGGCTGAGACAGGAGAATTGCTTGAACCCAGGGGGCGGAGGTTACAGTGAGCCGAGATCGCACCACTGCACTCCAACCTGGGCGACTAAGCAAGATTCTGTCTCAAAAAATATATATAAATTTACATTTATATACATAAAATAAATATAAAAAATAAAAATAAATAAAACTACAGTACACCAGTGTGTATCCCTTCATTGTTGGTGGACATGTGGGTTGTGTTCATTTTTGTCAGTTACAAATGATGCTGTTGTGGACATGTTTGTATTTCTATTTGGTTACCATTAGTGTGTATTTATGTACAGTATAAACCAAGAGGTGAAATCATAGGTTACAGGGTAAACATATCTTCAGTTTTACCGGTTATTATGGGTTTCATCCCAATGTTAACACACCAACTGACAGTCTTACAATGTCTGATAATTCCCAAATCTTCACATTCTTCTTGACACTTAATTTCATCAAAATTTTAATCTGAGTCTTTTGGTGGGTATGTGGCAATGATTGTGATATTAATTTACTGGGCCTTTTCTTCTCTATAACAGGCCCTGTCAAGATATATGTGTGGTGTGGCAGGGGTAGGAGCCCCTAGAGGTAGCATGGGCTCTGGAATCCTTAATCATCCTATGTGAAAAAGTTGGTGGGGCAGTGATTTTTTTTTTTTTTTTTTGAGACAGAATTTCGCTCTTGTTGCCCAGGCTGGAGTGCAATGACACTATCTCAGCTCACTGCAACCTCCGCCTCCCAAGTTCAAGTGATTCTCCTGCCTCAGCCTCCCAAGTAGCTGGGATTAGAAGCATGTGCCACCACACCCAGCTAATTTTTTGTATTTAGTAGAGATGGGGTTTCACCACGTTTGTCAGGCTGGTCTTGAACTCCTGACCTCAGGTGATCCACCTGCCTCAGCCTCTTAAAGTGCTGGGATTACAGGCATGCACCCCTGCACCTTAATATGTCCTATGTGCAATGGTGTAGCCAGGGTGCAAAGCCAGTTCTTAATGATTCTGTCATCCAAATATTATACCTTCTTGATTCCCCTTGAGATATGCTCATTCCTCCATACAATTAAACAATCTCAATTACTCTTGAAGGAGCATAAAATCCTCCCTGTCTAATCATGGGTCTTTCCAAATTATTTGTTGGCTTGTGTTTAAAATATAAAAAAGAGAATGTAGATTTTGTTTTCTTCTTCTTGCTTAACCTGAACAAAATGTCATAGTTACCTCCTAGCCTGTTGCTAAACCAAGGAGAGTCACTTGAATAATGAACAAGACTGGAGGGAAACCACATGGATAATTTATCATTACACTATCATCACATACATGGAACTCATCAATGAAGCTTACGAAAAAAATTGAGTCATTTGTGGAAAAGTGTAAAGAGAATATAGGAGATGCCTCAAGTGAAGAGAAAAAAGCTGCAGAAAATAATTACAAAAAAAGAGTGTTAAGATGTAAACACAAATTCAGAGATTCAGGAGCACAAAGGATTAAGTTAAGGGAAAAAAGAGTTATCAGTATTTTCTTATTCATTATGGAGAGCAGGATGAATTCTTAAAAGGTCAAATAATTGTGAGTCTGATATATCTGATGATAATTTGTATTTTGTATTTCTAATGTTGTAAATGGATGTTAATTCACAGTCATTATTCCTATTTTCTTTAGACTAGTGACCATGAGTTTGACTGACAAAAACCCATTGGGTTAGTATTGTTATCTATGTGTGTTCATCATGCTAAGTGTTAAAATAAGTCCATCAATTTTTGTCTTGTGTTTGTTTTCATTTCATTTTAGTTTAGTTTCTTTGGGACAGGGTCTCACTGTGTCACCCAGGCTGGAAGTGCAGTGGCATGATCACAGCTCACTGCAGCCTCTACATCTCCAGGCTCAGGTGATCCTCCTACCTCAGCCTCCCAAGTAGCAGGGACTACAGGCATGAGCCACCACACCTGGCTAATTTTTGTATTTTTTGTAGAGACAGGGTTTTGATATGTTGCTCAGGCTTGTCTTAAACTCTTGGACTCAAGTGATCTGCCCACCTTGGCCTCCCAAATTGCTGGGATGACTGGCATGCACCACTGTCCTGGCCTGTTTTCATTTTATTAATTGGCTGATTCATTCAGAAACATAATTATCAAGTCAAATCTCACTCTTTCCTTAGCATTTCCCTTCCGTTTAGCTGAGAAAATCTATTCCTATTTTAAAACATATATGATTATTCGAGTGTGGTGGCACATGCCTGTAATCCCAGCTACTCAGGAGGCTGAGGCAGGAGTATCACTTCAACCCTGGAGTGATATAGTGATTATATATAATATATAACTATATAGTGATTATAGTTTATAATTTTAACTATATCATGTCTCCTGCCTCATAAGTGCCACTGGACAAGGTCCCTTTTATGAACTCAGCTGCTGTCAGAGGTAAATGTATTTTGAAGTGGAGAACAAAGATAAGTGCAAAATTGGCATGGAGAACTAAGGTAATTATGAAAGTTCCAGATACAAAGAGAGAGGGCTCAATATGCCAGCAGTTCTCTTCCAATCCATCCTAGCGGCCTTCTGTTAGGATTGCCTAAATAATGCAGGAGATGGGTGCAAGACACACAAGTGTTCCAGAAGCATGTAAACAAGGTACAGAGAAGAGGATAAGATAAAATAAGATGAGATAAGAATATTAGGAATGCCTTGTTCAGAAGATTGCCTACAGAGGCAAAAGGGACAGTTTCATTTTGCTGAGGGAAACAGGGTGGTAAGAACCCTCCTGGGGAAGATCCCCACTTACCCTGATACAGAAAGAAGGTGTAAAATTTTGTAATGGGAGAGCATTAGGCTGAGATAGCTCCCATGGCCAGGGTTCCTGCATAGACAAAATGAAACAAGCTTAGCCCACCCACAAGTGGCCCGCTGAGTATTAGCTGCGTAATGAGAGACCTACCACCAGGATAGTTCAAATAATGCAACTGCCCACATTTTTGCCAATCAAATAATTTCTCTACTTTACTTCTATATTCACCCTGTAAAAGCCTTCCTTACAAACACCTCCAGTAGATCCTCCAACCACTTTCAGTTTGGAGCTGCCTGATCCATGAATCTCTGTTTGCTTAAATAAACTCTTTAAAATTTTAATATGCTTAAGTTTATCTATTTTTTTCTCATTTTAAAAAATTGAGATGGGATCTTCCTATGTTGTCCAGGCTGGTCTTAAACTCCTGAACTCAAGGGATCCTCCTGCCTCAGCCTCCTGAGTAGCTGGAATTATAGACGTGTGCCTCCACACCCAGCTTACATTTATCTTTAAACAAGGGTTTGACCTCTTTCTGAAATATATTTCTGTGAAGACCTGTACCCTCAGTGATATGGCAGGCTCATTTTAGACCACTGAGCACTTTTGTCTCTGGACTACAATTTGCCCTTTGTGACCTGCTCTACTAAAAAATTCAAGTGTAATTCAAGTTAGTTTACCCTCTGCTGATCAGGGGAGATTGCTCTTGGTGCAAGTTCAAAACAGGCACTCACACCTTCATTCATACCCCAAATCTCAGCATCACACAATACACCCATGTAATAAACCTGCAAAGGTACCCTCCGAAATCTAAAATGAAAGTTGAAATTCATTAAAATTTTAATTTCATCTTATTACAAAACAAAGATAAATTTACTGCTTTCCAATTTTGATATATATATTATACTGACATACACACTGTATTCTATGGTGAATTATGTTGATTGAATTTCACGTTTTAAACTAACACTGAGTTACTTTGAAAAACTCTATTGGGTGATAATGTATTATGTTTTTAATATATTTTAATACAATTTGCAAATATTCTGTTTTAAAATTACATCTATGTTCCATAAATAAATAAATATGTAAAAATAATAAATGTTTTTATTATTCAAGTGAAGATTATAGCAATATTTTTGAATATCTACTTAATCTCAACTAGTTTTAATTCAGAAGTAGCAACTCCATAGAAATTCAGCTTATTACTACCTTATTACTCATACTTGTCTCCTTGAAGAAGCTTCATTGCTATCATCCAGTTTAGACTGGGATGTCATAAATCTCTAGAGTGAGTAGTATAATATCCACTGTACAAATAAAATCAAATTATTATTATAATGTTATGATACCTCCAAATACAAAAAGCAAGCCCATGGATGTCAGGTTAAGGTATAGAGACAAATATTCCTACTTACTATCTTTTAGGGCAGACATATCCCAGCCAAGCTGATTGCAAAATGAAATGGAAACCATATGGTGGAAGGGGACTTGGGACTCACACAGATTGGATTTTCATTCCAACACTTACATACACAAGCTGCATGACTCTGGGTAGATTGCATATTCTCTTAGACTTTCAATTTCCTCATCTGTGCAATGGCAGTTAATGCCTATGGGCTATGGCTGATGTGGGGATAAAAGAACCAACATGGATGCATGGGCAGGGCCTGGTCCATGGAGCAGCTGGCATCAATAAATGGAAGCCCCTTCCCATCTTGTCTTTGCATGCACCACAAAATCCGGAATATGTGGGTATAAAAAGTACTCTTAAAAGAGACATAATTGGAAACTTTTGCAAAAAGAGATTGGAAAGGTGTCACATCTTGTGGCATGAGGAGCTGTGGGCATACACTTGAACTTTGTGCTGTGAGATATCCACAGAACTTCAGTAGCTGAAGAGAACAGTTTAGATGTCATCTTATTCATCTACCATAGAACTTCCTCTTCTTCTCTGAGATTTCTAGACAATAACTTTTACAGCTCTAATAATGCTGTTGTCTCCCAATTGTTTGGACTATTCTAATAGATACAAAGCAGTATTTCACCAGGAGATGCTACTGCAGTTTGTATGATGATTTCAAACTGAGAATCTATTTAAAGTTATGCAATACTCTTTTTTGGAAATAGGGTGAAAGTAGTTTACGTTTAAAATCCTATAAAATAGGTTTACAGTAAATAATTACCTGTTGCAATATCTATCATACTATCTTATATTCACACATGTGTTGGTGTCCTAATACATATGTATGAGAGTGAAAGTTACCTGAGGTCAGAGACTGTGCCATATGTTCCCTGCACCACTGGTGCCTATCTCAGCACATGATATACAGTAGATGCTCAATAAATACTTTCACTTAAAAAATGCACTGAGAATAAATCTTATTAGACATCAAAATACATATGAGTACAATCTAGGGACATGGTCAGGAGCTCAAAATTCAATCTTATTTATTTTTTATTTGGAGACAGAATCTCACTCTGTTGCCCAGGCTGGAGTTCAGTGGCATGATCTCAGCTTACTGCAACCTTCCTCTCCTGGGTTCAAGTGATTCTCCTGCCTCACCCTCCAGAGTAGCTGGGATTACAGGTGCACACCAACATGCCTGGCTAATTTTTTTGTATTTTTAGTAGGCACAGGGTTTCACCATGTTGGCCAGGTTGGTCTCAAACTCCTGAGCTCAGGCAATCTGCCCACCTTGGTCTCCCATAATGCTGGGATTACAGGTGCCAGCCACCACGCACAGCCACAAAATGTTTTAAAGTAGCTTCAAAACCCATTTGCAAATAGATGTATTCATAACAAGCTGCAAACAAGAAAACATTGAGCTTCATATAATAGAAGGGTTCTTCCTGGATTTGCATGTGGCTCCATCATTTGTTTGCTGTTGGGCCATGGTCAGGTTACGTAGCTGCTCTCTGCCTCCACATAGGCTTTATGCCTGTGTATCCCTCATCTACAAAATGGGAATAATAAGAATATCTAACAGTTAGAAGTGGAGAAAATATATGTAAAGACCTTTGAAAAGGGCTTGTGAAAGCTCAATAATTGTCCTCAATAATTGCTCTCAATAATTGTCAGCTATCATTCAATAATAATCATAATCATGAAAATGTATGACTCAAAGAAAGATTCTGACTTCATATCCAGCTTCCCAAAAGAATCAGACACTGGACCTGTGAAAAGAATGACATTGAGATGTATTTTCACATTGCTAAGTTGGTTTTTTCTTTGCCATTCAATTTCTGCAGTCCCTACTCTAAGCCCATGGTCCACCTTTTTATTTTTCCTCCTAAGATGTCTTCCCTTCTTGTAAGATTTACTTTTCCTTAAATAGGGCCCTTTTCATCCACCCACTCTTTTGCCCTTCCCAGAAGTTGGTTAATGGGCACAAAAATACAGTTAGATGGAAGGAACAGAAAAATTTCTAGTGTTCAATAGCACAGTAGGGTGATGATCATTAACAATAACTTATATATTTCAAAATGACTAGAAGAAAGATGTGGAATGTTCTCAACACAAATAAATGATAAATGTTTGAGGTGATGGATATGCAAATTATCCTGATTTGATCACTACACATTGTATGCATGTATCAAAATATCACATGTACCCTACAAATATGTATAATTGTCATGTATCAATAAAAATAAAAAGGCCTATTTCTCTTTCCTTCCTCCCCGCATTCCCTCCTGTCCCAGATGTGTGTTGTTCCTGGTGCTCTCCTGCCCCCCGTTCAGCCAGCACTGAGCCAGCAGGAAGGATCTCACAGGTCATATCCTGAGATCAACCCTCCACCACTTCAGGTAATAATCCTCCTGCTTTTAGTCATTTATATCCTTTGGTTCATACATATTTTGAGTCAAGTACCTTCTAACTACTGATCTACATAATATTCCTTGGTTTTTAAAGATAATACAAAGTGGATTTTAGTAACAATCTTGAGTCACCACAGAAGCTAATGAAGCTGGGGATTCCACAAAGCCATCCAAGCATATAAAGCCCATTTCCTTGGGTCCCTTTTCCTTAGCTCAAGGCCACAAAAAATCAGAACGTAAATTCCAGCCCACATTTGCATTATGTCTAAATAATTATGAGTTATAAATGAAGCTAACAAATAGTTAAATATGTTCTATTCTCCTATTTCGATAAATATACTGCCATAATAACCCACAAGGTCAAAGTTGAGTGTAGAATTCTCTGATTTCTTGGTGCTCTGCACAGGAATGTGGTAGTAAAGGGAGAGCCGATCATCAGCCCCAGGCTAAACTTTTTTCTTTCATCGTAGGTAGCCCTGTCCTCACTTGAGAAGCTTTGCATACCCTTGTGTGGGGAACTCCCTAGGCCCCATGCAAGCTCCATCCACAATTCTCACCCCTTCAGAAAGCAGATCCTTGGGCACCATTTGGACAAGCACAGTTTGCACTTTGAAATGGACCCAGGGAAGAGGCCATGCAGGCTCAGGCACATTTCGCCAGGTCCCTGAGTGCCCAGCGTGTGCCCTAGAAGAGAGGGTGAAGCTCTGAGTGGGCAAGGGTACAGTCAGTGGAGGGCCAGAGAGGCACCTTCTCAAGTGCAGGATTCAGGGCAGGGGTCCTCTTGCCCAGATCGATGGCTATGATTGCTTAGTTAAATGGCGCCTGCGTCATGTTTTCTCAGCTCACCTTTCATTCAGTCTCAGCCACCGTGAGAAGTTCCATGGAAGCACAGGCTTCTCTTGTGCTGCCAGCAAACTCAAGGTACACTTTCTGCCCTAGGGAATCTCCATTATTGTAGGATTTTGCCTGAGCACAAATACAGCCCAGAAACACTTGCAGGTTAACAGCCTCAGGGGAAGACCTCAACCAGTGTGGGACAGGTGGACAAATGCTCCAGGCTCATGTTTCAGGTGGACATTTCTGGATAACTTTCTGGAGCCTCTCGGAAGGTCCTGCAGAAAAAACTGCACGGCAGGAGCCTCAATAGCATGCCATTATTTTGGCTTTTCTTTCTTGCCTGGCTCACTCTTCCCACTTCTGACTCTTGCTTCTTGGAATCACTTTCCAAATAAACCACCCACACCGAAGTCCTTACTCCAGCTCTGCTTCTAGGGATACAGGCACACCTTGGAGATATTGCAGGTTTGGTTCTAGGTAACACAATAAGGTGAATGTCACAACAGCGCAAGTCACACGAAATTTTTTGCAAGTCACACGAAATTTTTTGCTTTCTGGTGCATATAAATGTTATGTTGCCAGGCATGGTGGCTCACGCCTGTAATCCCAGCACACTGGGAGGCCGAGGTGGGTGCATCACCTGAGGTCAGAAGTTCAAGACCAGCCTGGCCAACATGGCGAAACCCTGTGTCTACCGGAAATACAAAAATGGTGGTGCGCACCTGTAGTCCCAGCTACTCAGGAGGCTGAGGCAGGAGAATTGTTTGAACCTGGGAGGCAGAGTTTGCAATGAGCCAAGATTGCACCACTGCACTCCAACCTGGGCAACAGAGCCAGACTCCATCTCAAAAAAAAAGTTATGTTTAAGTTACTGTAGTCAATTAAGTGTGCAATAGCATTATGTCTAAAATATAATGTATATACCTTACTTTGAAAATACATGATTGCCAAAAAATGCTAACCATCATCTGGGCCTTCAGTAAGTCATTATCATTTTGCTGCTGGATGGTCTTGTCTCAATGTTGATAGCTAGTGACGGATCGAGGTGGTGGTTGCTGAGGGCTGGAGAGGGAGTGGCAATTTCTTAAAATAAGATGACAATGAAGTTTACCGCATTGACTGATTCTTCCTTTCAGAAAAGATTTCACTGTAGCATGCTACGCAGTTTGGTAGCATTTTACCTACAGTAGAATTTATATCAAAATTGGAACCAATTCTCTCAAACCCTGCCACTCTTTTATCAACTAAGTTTATGGGATATTCTAAGTCCTTTGTTGTTCTTTCCACAATGTTCACAGCATTTTCACCAGGAGTAGATTCCATCGCAAGAAACCACTTTCTTTCCTCATTCATAACAAGCAACAATAATATATTATTTTATATATATTATATATGTATTATTATATAATATAAATTATATATTATATAACATTATATAATAATATATAATATTATATATTGCATATTATTATATTAATTATATTATATAATATTATATATTGTATATTATTATATTAATTATATTATATTATATATTTTATCATAATATAATATGTATTATAATATTATATATTATATAAGCAGAAATGATATCCCTTGGTTTTTAAAGATAATACAAAGTGGATTTTAGTAACAATCTTGAGTTGTCACAGAAGCTAAGGAAGTTGGGGATTCCATGAAGCCATCCAAGCATATAAAGCCCATTTCCCTGGGTCCCTTTTCCTTAGCTCAAGGCCACAAAAAATCAGAACATGAATTCCAGCCCACATTTGCATTATGTCTAAATAATTATGAGTTATAAATGAAGCTAACAAATAGTTAAATATGTTCTATTCTCCTACTTTGATAAATATTCACAGTATATTATGATAAATGTATTGCCATAATAACCCACAAGGTCAAAGTCGAGTGTAGAATTCTCTGATTCCTTGGTGCGCTGCACGCGAATGTCGTAGTAAAGGGAGAGCCGATTCTGAGCCCCAGACTAAACTTTTTTCCATCTAATTCCATTTATTTCCATTAAGATTGCAGCAATTTGGCCGGGTGCGGTGGTTTATGCCTGTAATCCCAGCACTTTGGGAGGCTGAGGCAGATGGATTATCTGCAGTTGGGAGTTTGAGACCACCCTAACCAACATGGTGAAACTCCTTGTCTACTAAAAATACAAAATTAGCCGGATGCAGTGGCACATGCCTATAATGCCAGCTACTCAGGAGGCTGAGGCAGGAGAATCAATTGAACCCAGGAGGCGGAGGTTGTGGTGAGCAGAGATTGCACCATTGCACTCCAGCCTGGACAACAAAGCAAAACTCCATCTCAAAAAAAAAAAAAAAAAAAAAAGATTGCAGCAATTCACTCACATCTTCAGGCTCCACTTGTAATTCTAGTTTTCTTGCTATCTTCACCACAACTGTGGTTACTTCCTCTGCTAAGGTCTTGAACCCCTCAAAGTCATTTATGAGGGTCAGAATCAACTTCTTCCAGACTCCTATTAATGCTGCTATTTTTACCTCCTCTGGTGAATCATGAATATTCTTAGTGGCATCTATCATAGTGAATCCTTTCCAGAAGGTTTTGAATTGACTTTGCCCAGATCCATCAAAGGAATCATGACCTGTGGCAGTAACAGCCTTATGAAATATATTTCTCAAATAATAAGACTTGAAAGTCAAAATGATGCCTCAATCCATGGACTACAGAATAGATGTTGTGTTGGCAGGCATGAAACCAGCATGCATTTCCCTGTACATCTCCATTAGAGCTTTTTAGTCACCAGGTACACTGTCAAAAAGCTGAAGTATTTGAAATCAATCTTTTTTTCTGAGCTGTAGGTCTCAACAGTGGGATTAAAATACTCAGTAACCCATGCAGTAAACAGCTCTGATATCATCCAAGTGTTGTTGTTCCATTTATAGAGCTTGGGTAGTGTAGATTTAGCATAATTCTTAAGAGGTGCCCTAGGATTTATGGAATAGCAAATGAGCATTGGCTTGTAACAAGAAAGTCAGCCTGTCCTTTAAATCTTTTTCTTTTTCTTGATATAAGGTCTCACTCCATTACCCAAGCTGGATTGCAGTGGCATGATCTTGGCCCACTCCATACTTGACCTCCTTGGCCCCACAATCCTCCCACCTCAGCCTCCTGAGTAGCTGGGACTAGTAGCATGCACCACCATACATGGCTTATTTTTATTTATTTATTTATTTATTGTTAGAGACAGGGTTTCACCATGTTGCCCAGGCTGGTCTGAAGCTTCTAAGCTCAAGCCATTCCCCCACTTCAGCCTCACAGAGTGCTGGGATTACAGGCGTGATCCACCCTGTCTGGCCTCTAAATTCGTGTTATGGAGACTCATTTTCATGGTTAAAATGTCCTGAATTGACTGTGGCCTGTTGGGAGGTGGGATGGAGGAAACTACTTATGGAAAATGAAGAAGAAAGGGAAGCACACCAGAAGCAAGAAAGTGTCATCAATTTTTACATCAAGGCCTCCATGATAAAGAGAAAGTACAGGTGGCCTGTTATCAAGGCTGACCATTGGACTGTGGACTGCACCTGCATCTACCAGGTTCTTCTGGATAGTCCCAGTTTTAAATTTTTGACCTGACATTCATGAACACAGTGCTACTGGTCAGACCTTTGTCCAGGTTTAAGCTTCAGAACATAATGTCTTCATGCAGTGGGAGGCCTGATTATGGTTATGATTCTGCCCTGGGGCATCTGCCCCTTCTTACCTGGAGGTAAACTTGGCATCTACTACTTACCTCTACACTTGAACAGCCAAGGATGGGCTGAGCACAGAGGCTCACATCTGTAACTCCAGCACTTTGGGAGGCCAAGGCAGGAGGATCGCTTAAGGCCAGGAGTTCAAGACCAGCCTGGGCAATATAGTGAGACCTCGTCTCTGTAAAAACAAACAAACAAAACCGAGGATGGGTGGGTGACAGGGAGCAGTTCAACATCGGAAACCATAAATCTGAGAGGTGGAAGGACCCTTAGACCAGCCCCACATTAACAGATGAGACTCTGCCCTGAGATTATAGCCTAAGGTAATGCATTGAGCTTTTCTAGAGACTTGAAAATAATCAATCCTAAAACCCCCAAGCATACTGCTACTGTTTGCTATTGAATAATGTTTTCTAGTCTGGGTGTGGTGGCTCCTGCCTGTAATTCCAACACTTTGGAAGGTCGAGGCAAGTGGATCACCTAAGGTCAGGAGTTCGAGACCAGCCTGGCCAACATTGTGAATCCCTGTCTCTACAAAAATACAAAAAATTAGCAGGCCATCGTGGTGTGCACTGGTAATCCCAGCTGCTTGGGAGGCTGAGGCAGGAGAATCCTTTGAACCTGGGAGGCAGAGGTTGCAGTAAGCCGAGATCACACCATTGCACTCCAGCCTGGGCTACAAAAGTCAAATTCCATCTCAAAAATAATAATGATAATAATAATGTTTTCTACAAGCAAGGAGTTACTTTGTACTGTGAACTGGTGTGAAGGGATCTGCCATGTGTAAGCTTTTGGATTGAAGACAGTTATTTCTAATTTTAAAAATAGCAACCCAACAGAAAATTGGGAAAATGCATTCATAGGGATTTCACAAAAGAGAAAGCCTGCAAAACATAAAAATTTTCTCAACCTCATTAGTAATCAGGGAAATGCACAAGATACTACACATCTATTCTCTCCACAAATATTAAGAAGTTTGACAATACAAAATGTATTAGTCCATATTCACACTGCTGATAAAGACATAACTGAGACAGGGAAGAAAAAGAGGCTTGATTGCATTAAGGGTTCCACATGGCTGAGGAGGCCTCAGAGTTACGGTGGTGGATGAACAGCACTTCTTACATGGCAGTGGCAAGAGAATATGAGAAGGAGGCAAAAGAAGCAAAAGACAAAACCACTGATAAACCCATCAGATCTTGTGAGATTTATTCACTATCACGAGAATAGCATGGGAAAGACCAGCTCTAAAGATTCAACTACCTCCCCCTTGTTCCCTCCCCGAACACATGGGAATCCTGAGCAATACAATTCAAGTTGAGATGTGGGTAGGGACATAGTCAAACCATATTATTCTGCTCCTGACCCCTCCAAATCTCATGTCCTCACACTTCAAAACCGATCATGCCTTCCCAACAGTCCCCCAAAGTCTTAACTCATTTCAGTATTAACCCAAATGTCCACTGTCCAAAGTCTCATCTGAGACAAGGCAAGTCTCTTCTGCCTATGACCCTGTAAAATCCAAATCAAGCTAGTTACTTCCTAGATACAATGGGGGTACAGGTAATTGAGTAAATGCAGCCGTTCCAAATGGGAGAAATTTGCCAAAACAAAGGGGTTACAGGCCCCATGCAAGTCCAAAATCCAGCAAGGTAGTCAAATTTTAAAGCTCCGAAATGATCTCCTTTGACTCCATGTTTCACATCAAGGTCATGCTGATCTAAGAGGTGGGCTCCCACAGCCTTGGGCAGTTCTGCCCCTGTGGCTTTGCAGGGTATAGCCCACCTCGTGGCTGTTTTCATGGGCTGACGTTGAGTGTCCACAGCTTTTCCAGGCTCATGGTGCAAGCTGTCAGTGAATCTACCATTCTGGGGTCTGGAGGAGAGTGGCCCTCTCCTCACAGCTCCACTAGGAAGTGCCCCAGTAAGGACTCTGCATAGGGGCTCTGACCCCACATTTCTCTTCTGCACAGCCCTAACAGAGGTTCTCCATCAGAGCACCACCCCTGCAGCAAACTTCTGCTTGGACATCCAGGTGTTTTCAAACATCCTCTGAAATCTAGGTGGAGGTTTCCAAACTTCAGTTCTTGACTTCTATGCATGTGCAGGCTGAACACAACATGGAAGCTGCCAAGGCTTGGTGCTTGCACTCTCAAGGCCATGGCCTGAGTTCTATGTTTTCCTCTTTCAGCCATGGTTGGAGGGGCTGAAACGCAGAGAAACAAGGCCCTAGGCTACACACAGCACAGTCAACCTGGCCCAGCATGGAAATCCATTTTATCCTCCTAGGTCCCAGGCTTGTGATGGGAGGGGCTGCTGTGATGACCTATGACATGTCCTGTAGACATTTTCCCCATTGTTTTTGGGATTAACATTCAGCTTCTTGTTACTTATGCAAATTTCTGCAGACAGCTTGAATTTATCCTCAGAAAATGGGATTTTCTTCTCTATCACATTGTCAGGCTGCAAATTTTCCAAAACTGTATGCTCTGCTTCCTTTATAAAACCAAAGGCCTTTAACATCACCCAAGTCACCTCTTGAATGCTTTACTGCTTAGAAATTTCTTCCAGCAGATACCCTAAATTATCACTCTCAAGTTCAAAGTTCTACAAATCTCTAGGACAGGGGCAAAATGCTGCCATTCTCTTTGCTAAAACATAACGAGAGTTACCTTTGCTCCAGTTCACAACAAGTTCCTCATCTCCATCTGAGACCACCTCTGCCTGGACCTTATTGTTCAAAACACTATCAGCATTTTTGTCAAAGTCATTCAGCAAGTCTCTAGGAGGTTCCAAATTTTCCCACATTTTCCAGTGTTCTTCTGAGCCCTCGCAACTGTTCCAACCTCTGCCTGTTACCAAGTTTCAAAGTTGCTTGCACACTTTTGGGTATCTTTTCAGGAGCACCCCACTCCACTGGTATCAATTTACTGTATTAGTCTGTTTTCACACTGCTGATAAAGACATACCCAAGTCTGAGAAGAAAAAGAGGTGTAAAGAAAAAGAACTGTAATTGGATTTACAGTCCCACATGGTGGGGGAGGCCTCAGAGTCATGGCAGGAGGTAAAAGGCACTTCTTACATGGCAGCAGCAAGAGAAAATGAGGAGGAAGCCAAAGCAGAAACTCCTGATAAACCCATCAGATCTCATGAGACTTATTCACTATCATGAGAATAGCACAGGAAAGACTGGCCTCCGTGATTCAATTACCGCACCCTGGGTCCCTCCCATAACATGTGGGAATTCTGGGAGATAGAATTCAAGCTGTGATTTGGGTGTGGACACAGCCAAACCATATCACCATATATGGAGAGACTGTGGATCAACAAGATCATCTCGAACTAATACAGGAGGTGAGCGTTTAAATTAGAACAACCACTTTGGAAAGCAATTTGGATTATCTTATAAATTTGAGCATTCTCATATGTTATGGCAAAGTAATTTCTCTACCACAGGCCCTGGAGAAACTCTTGCCCATATGTACAAGATGTAGTAAAAAAAAAAAAATGCTCACGTAATGCCATTCATAATAGGAAAAATCTGGAAATAAGCCAAATGTTCACTAATAGGAGAATGGGTAAATTAATAGGAGAATGGGTAAATAAATTATACCCTTAAAAACTAAGTAACATGTCATTTAGGGTAATCATATGTATGCAATAAAACAATGTGTTTTTTTTTAAAGGAAGAGAATCCTAAACATAAATTCAGGGTAGTAGTTACCCTCGGGCTGAAGGGTGAAAATCAGGAAAAAGGACAGAGGAGGAGCAGATGTTAGGGTCAGAACCCTAGTTCTTTGGTTGTGTTGTAAGTTGACAAGTGATTACCATATTGTTCAAATACATTTACACAGAGGCCCAGGCACAGACAAGGGTGAAATAGGAGCCAAGGTGTACTATGAGCCAAGGATTATGATTAATCCAATTTTGTGCACTTAAGCCATTTGAAAAACAGAAAAGCAAAACAACAAAATAATTTTTAAGAAATTGAATATAGGGTGCTATGCTCTGAATGTGTCCCCCTAAAATTAATCACCAATGTCATAGGATTAGGAAGTAGGGCTTTTAGGTAGTGATTCAGTCATGAAGGGAGAGTCTTCACAAATGGGTGTAGGATCCTTACACAAGGACTGGAGGGAGTGGGCTTCCCCTGTTTTACCCTTCCGCCTTCTGCCATGTGAGGACACAGTGCCTCTCCTCCTGAAGACACAGTGCACAAGGTACCATCTTGGATGCAGAGACCAGGCCCTCACCAGACACCAATCCTGCTGGCACCTGG
This sequence comes from Homo sapiens, assembly GCF_000001405.40. Taxonomy (NCBI): domain Eukaryota; kingdom Metazoa; phylum Chordata; class Mammalia; order Primates; family Hominidae; genus Homo; species Homo sapiens. Next base: position 65,544,638 of record NC_000009.12, read on the forward strand.
ATCTTGGACTTCTAGCCTATGGAACTGTGAGAAATACATTTCTGTTCTTCAGAAATTACCCAGCCTAGTGTATTTTCTTATATAGAAGCACAAACTCATTAAGGCACAATGCCTCTTGTCATTTTCTTCTACAATTTTCTTTGTGGCCTCTTTAGCACTGGGTCATTTTATATTTGCTCCTTCATAATATCTCTTACTTTTGGTTTTTCACATTTCTGTTCCAAGTGTATTCTTAGATACATATTTTCCACTATTAGTTAACCTCAGGGGTTGCCTGGGAATGCGTGTTTCTGTGCCACCACTGTAGGACTGTGTGTGTGTGTGTGTCTCCCATTCTCTCTTCTCTCTCTGTCTCTCACCCTCTGTGTGTTTCTTTCCCTCTCTCTGTTTGTCTGTGTGTGTGTGTGTGTGTGTGTGTGTGTGTGTATGCCTGTGTGTGTGTGTGTCTTTGGACGAATGTGCTCTGTTTGCCAAAATGCGATTTTTTGCATGTCGGCCAGTCTTTGTTGAGCCTCTTTCTGTGTCTCTGTCTGGGTCCCGTGGCCGGTTGTCCATCGTTTTCATGGCGGTTCCACTCTGGGTTTGTGAAGTCCTCGATCACGTGAGGAGATGCGTCGGTCCCGGAGCAATCGAAGTCTCATCCCTATCCTGAGCGGCCTCTTTTCTAGGATCAAGAGGACCACACTCCAACCCAGGACAAAACCCCACAGCAGCTCATTGTCCGGCAGGAGAGGAGCAGACACACCTCCAAGAAGATGGTTGTACCCCTGCACGGCTCTTCTCTGAGCAATGAAGCCACACCACGATACAATTCTGAAGAGGAAGCCGGGAATGGGAGACAGCAACAATCCCTGTCCCTGGAATGCTGGCCTCTCTGGACAAGTCATGCGTTTCGCACCCCTCCCCTTATGCCTGTGGCGGTGGCAAGGTTCTGTAACCTGCCTGGGCTCTGGCCTGTGCTCTGTCCTCCCTCTTGCTCTGTCTCCCCTGTTTCTGAGGGGCCTAGTTGCCTCTTGGTCTGGCTGAATAACTTCTACGAAGATCGCTTCCCAGTCCATCAGGGAGACACTTTCTGGAGATCCGCGACATGACTCTTTCTCTCTCCAAACCTGTTTCTGCTGGATTGGGCAGGTCTGATAAGCCTGGAACACTTGGCTTCCATGCGTGTCTCAGACAGGGAAGCTTCTTTGGTCTCCTTGTTTCACCTCATCGGTGGGTGGATTGCCTAGAATGAGCGCTAGGTTATCATGACTGGCCTTGTCTTCTAAGACAGGTGGTGTCCCATTTCCTTTGCATGTCCTGTCTCACAAATGAGGGATATCCTCTCCTCTGCTCATAGGTGGACTGATTCCCTGAATCTTTTGTCTGTAATGAATGTCAGGAAACCAAAGGAACTGGGCTGGGCCTGGGGATGGGGTTGGGGCCGGGTGCAGGGAAGTTGCGTCAGGGCTACCTGGGCGGTGGAGGCTTCGGGGTGGGGTGAATGTTGCAGAAACCTCTGTGCTCCTCTGGCAGGCATTTCAAAATGTGGCTTGGACTGAGGCAAAGGCCCCGTCCAGGTTCCCAGGTCTTCTTTGAATTCCCTTGGCACTCAGGGAAAGGCCACTTGTTCCCCCTTTCCACCGGGCACATGCCTGGACACCATTGTTGGTTTTGCCATCACCCCATATGCCTCCGGTGACACACATTCACACCATCTGCTGTGGGATACGCCAGTGCCACACGTGATCGCATTGTCTCCACCTCGGCTTCGCACCATCCCTGTTTGCACCTGTCCTGGAAAGCGGTGTCCACTTGCAGGAGCCCCAGGGCTTTTAGAAGTGGGGCACGCCACTGCTCTTTCAACGGAGGAGGGAGGCAGAGGGCTCACAGATCAGTGAACTTTCAGCTGACACCACGCCTTGAGGGCCATGGGATCATTCTGTGCTGCAGCGACGACCTGCCTGCCTCACCAGATGTGCTGAGCCCATCCTTTCTAACCCGGAGGGGTCCAAACTAGGATCTGAAGAGGAGTCCTGAGAACCCAGCAGGCACCCTGAAGATCCCCCTCCATCGGTGGAAGTCGGCTCAAGGAGGTCTTGAAGATTGGACTCCTGGGGGTTTGGCCCTGGGACAGGATACTCAAGGACTCCTCTCCCACCCCGCCCCAAACTGGACCTCAGCCCCCACGCCACAGCCCCCACTTTCTCCCCAGAGCTGAGGGACAGACAGAGAATTGCGACTAGAAATTCGATCGATTGGTACGAGGGACCACGTGGCCAGGGGCTGGCCAATGACCAGGCCGCCTGGGATGAGCTAATAATGGAAGCAATTTGTAACTTTCAGTAGCTCTCTAGGCCTGGGTACCGGAGGGAGGGAGGCGGGCAGAGGAGGGGAGATGGGCACCCCCAGTCTTTCCATCCTCCTCATTCGTCTAGGGGCACCCGAATCCCCTATTCCTTATTTCCCCTATCACTCAGGCACTGGCAGGGTCCTTTGCCCACTCCTGTTGGCCGCTGCGGCTCCAAAGCGAGGTAAGCTGGTCCTCTACCCCTCAAACTCTTCACAACCCTCATCCCGTTTACTAGCACCTGCAAACCACAGCCTCCCTTCCTGTCCCATTAGTGAATTTAAATCAGATTTTGTTTTTCCTCTTAGTTGAAAGAAAAATAATCTTTTTGTATTCTTTTGTGTAACCTATCTCGGATTTGGAGAAAATTTTAATTCAAATTAATACACTTATATTGGGGGGGTGAGTGGTACTTTCCTCCTTTTCAATAAATTTCTATACTTGCTACTTTATGGAGAGTTTACTTTTCTTTGGGGATGAGTTACACCTTATGTTTTCACATGTGTTACTTCTTTAATGATAAGTTCAACTCCTTTATCCATTCCATCCTCCAATTTTGCTATTTATAAATATCACCTAATGGATTTAGAGTTTATTCATTTTTCTCCTCCCTCACTAGTTTTTCAGCTGTTACAGAATCACCACAATTTATTTTTCTCTGTATGTGGATGAGGTTTTGTGTTGATTCCTATTTTGTTTTGTAAATGAATTTATTGTTTGGGAAATTCTTGGGGGATGTGTGTGTAAAAAAGGTCTCTTGATTAATTCCAACCTCTCCTCTTCTGAAGAACAATTTGCTTGAAATGTTTTGAGTATTTTCCTCATTTTTATTATGTCTAAATTTGAGGTATTTTACCTTCTTTAAAACCTGGCCTCTTTTTAAAATTTAACCTTTTGCATGTTAAACCATTTTTAAGGTTTTTGTTTTATAAACTGCAATGGTTAGTAGATTTACTTGCCTTTCCCTGACCTCCTTCACACGCCTGCCTCCTCCATCTCAAAACTCCCATCCCCAGCTTCCACAATTCTCAGCTTCCAATGGACTCATCCTCCCCTCTCCTCCCAGCCAAGGAGGGATGCCTGGGAAGTAGACAGTGTCCTTCTTGGGTCAGAACCTATGCTCTGGTTCTAGTTCAGGACACCTCCAGTCTGACCTCCAAGCCGGCAAAACGAGTGAGAGAAGAATTTCTGCTCAACTTTTTCATTTGGGACTAAGTTCTTTCCACTTGGCTGTATTCCGGAGAACTCTGATACATGAAATTGAATTTTAAATTCTCCTTTTTTCCCTAAATTCTAAGAAAAGTGCAGGCAGATTGTTTTTCTTCCTTAAATGTAAGCTGTTAGCTTAGGGGTCAGCCCTTTGGGTCTTTTATCTCCTGAGGGAGACTTCTCAGAGAGACACACAGTGTTGATTCTTCCTTTTAGTTTTGGGTAAGGTAGAAGGGGCAGGGATTGGGGAAGCCCATATTGATCTCTGGCTCTAGCTCTGAACAAAGAAGGGTAGAGAGCTGGCCTGGGGACTTGTCCCTTTGGTCAGTAAGGTTTGGCTTAGGAGAGAGTTTGAAGTAAATCCCAGCTCTGAGGAAATTCTTCTTTTTAGCATTACTGTGAAAATAAACTCTTAAAATGGTGTGACATGGCTTCAAACTATTCAGATTCCTTGAAGTAACAAAAATAAACTTACAAGAGTAATTTATGTTTCCCAAAGATCCGCCTCCAGTGACTGTCCATTTCTCTCAGGGAAACAGAACCCAACTGGGCAGAAGTAAAACTGCCACCCCTCCCCTTTCAGTTCCCCAGTCACATTGACATTCTGGGCACATTTGGCCCAGCCCTCGTCCCTGCTTCTCCCAAGTATGAATCTAAATTACTATTAATAAGGGGCCGCTCCAAGTTAATTGGCATTAAAAGAATTCATTTCAATTTGTTAATATTAAATGAATGCTCTGCACTTTAGCTCCCTTCTTTGCCCTGGATTCCCAGATGAGTGATAGGAAGAAGGGGCAGGGAATTAGAATGAGGATTTTATTTCTGGCTCTCCAGCTTAGCCACTGTGGTGCCTCCCCTGGGGGTGTGCAATCAGGCACAGTGGGGGCCTGCTTGGGGAAGGTCTGATGGTCTTTTTTGGTGAAATTCATCTGTTTTAGCAGGAGTTGTGGGGGAGGATGGGTGGGGAGCAGAGGGAGAGGGACAGAATGGTTTGGGGGACTTTGTGGGGAGCAGAGGGTCTAGGGAGAAAGTGGGAAGGGAAAGGGACGGAGGTCAACAGGAGTTTTGGAGAACAAGGGTTGTAGGCTGTGGGGGGTAAAGCCAATTTGTGAAGAACTGGTGATAGGAACTAAACAACCCACCTAGAAGAGGAGGGGCTTTGAGCAGGGGTGGGGAGGTGGGATTTGAGGCAAAACAGCTAGGAGTTCTGAAACTATTAATATCTAGCTGTGTGACTCAGGGCAAGTTGCTTAACTTTTCTCTCTGCCTTAGTTTCTTGACCTGTAAAACAGGGATACTAATAATAGAACTTATCTCAGGGGGTTATTTGGAATTAGAGGAAATACATGCCATGTGTTTTCCACAGTGCTTGACACATAGAACCTGCCAGTAAATGTTAGCTCTTTTTATGGCAGAGTGGTTAACAGGATGGATTCTGGAGCTAGACGGCCTGATTTTGAATCTCAGTCATGCCTTATGTGAGTTGTATGACCTAGGCAAGTTACTTAACCCCTTGTGCTTTAGTTTCCTTGTCTGTAAAATGGGGTTAATAGAACCTAGCTCAAAGGCTGCTGTCAGGATTAAATGAGTTATATGTACGAAGAGCCTAGAACAATGCCCACCCCACAGGAAACACTATGTAAGCATTAGTTGTCACTGATATTGTTGCTCTTCTGATCTAGGAAGGTTGAAAATAGAGGCACAGGTGAGCTACTACTTACAGGCTAAGACTGGAATCAGATCAACTCTTTCACTCCTATCCCTGAAGCTAGTCCTGCAACTGGGGCTGCATATGAGGGCTTGGAGAGAGATACTATAACCCTGGAATCTGGGATATCCAAGTCCTTCCTCTGCTCTAGCTCTTGGGTTGGTGGTCCCTCCAAGACCCATAGACTCGAAGTCACTTCTTTTTCCCTCGGCAGGGTTGGGGTGGGGCTGGTAATGGGAGAATTACTTTCTTGGTCTAATAACTCCCTTTAGTAGAGAGTTAGTCCTGGGAGTGTGAGTTGGGGGAGGTTGGGTAGAGCAGAGGAGATTAAATATCCTTTATGTACCAGCCCACACACACTTGACCTCACCAGAGGGTTGGGAAGACAGAGATTCAAAGAGGGGAAGTGATCTGACAAAGTCCTAAAGCTAGAACTTGGCAGAGTTGGCATCTGAACTCCGATCTGCTTGATGGCAAACTTAAAGCCCTTCCATTGCTGCATGCTTTTTGAAGGGAGAAATGGGACACGTGTAAACTTGGGCCAGGACCATGGGGTAGATGGAAGATGGGCGAAGATAGAGTATTGGAGTGGGAAGTGGCCAAGCAGGAATGTTTCAATCATGGAAGATTTCCTGAGAAAAGAGATTCCACATCAGGGTTCAGATGGTAGGGGAATGAGGATAGGAAGTAAAGAAGAGGGAGGGAGCCATGCATTGACAAGGAAGGAGAAGAAAAAAGAATTTATGCAAAGGCTGGGTCAGAGTAATGGACATGAATTCAATTTGCCTTGGGTTTGCCTTACCATTTATTGAAGGCATACTATGTACTAGGTACATACATGATCACATTTGATGTTCACAACAGCCCTGACAAGTGGGTTTCTTATCCCTATTTCCAAGAGTTCATTGAAGTTCTGAGAGCTTAATCCCCGCTTTAGGTTACACAGTAGTAGCTAGATTTCCTGGCATCAGAACCCTCACCTACGCTGCTTCTGAGCATGGCTTCTGTGCCCCAGTCTCGATTTCCATGACTGTTTCAAGTCCTCCTGTTCCCCCGCATTTGTAGTCATTCTTGGTGACTGGGAACGAAGGGCTAGAGCGTGAGCTGAAACTGAGACAGGGAGTGGCAGGCAGGCAGTGGGGACAGAAACTTTTCTCAAATCCACCCATGTGAAGAAGATGGACAGAAGGGTGGTCTTTCTGGAGAGAGGCTTCCAAGCCACTTTCCCAAGAAAGACAGCTGATCTTGGGATGAATGGCAGGGACCTGATTGGGTAGGGGATGGGTGGTCACATTGTTTTCTGGGCTGTAGACTTTATTTCCCTTCCTTTGGGAAGAGAAGAGGAAGAGGACAGCTCAGGTGTGGGTTTGAGCCCTGGATTAAGACTGCCCATTGTCCACTAAAATCTCTTCTTTCCTTGCTGCACGAGGGTGGAGGGACACCCAGCTGGACACTCCATTTCCCAGCTGCTCTTACTGCCAGGTGTAGACACAGGGGAATGTGAGGTGAGCATGTCCTCAAAGCCTGACGGATTGGGTAAATTCTCCTTTGTGTTCTCTCTTTCATGAGCTGGGCAGATGTGCCTGAGACAGGTTTGACCAGGCAACTGAAAAGACATCCCTAAGAGAAGACAAAGCAAAGGTATGAAAGGAACACACGTCCCTGACTGACTAGGAGGAACAGAGCTGCCTGCTATCCGGAACAACTTCCTCCCAGACTAAGTGAGAAATAAACTTCTGTTTTCTATATGCTACTGTGTTTGGGGGCCTTTGTGTTATAGAAGTTTTGCTGTCATCCTTTCCAATTCACCTTCTCACACCAGATATTTCAAATTAAAAAGATTATATCAGGCCAGGTGCGATGGCTCATGCCTGTAATCCCAGCACTGTGTGGGGCTGAGGCAGGTGGATCACTTGAGGCCAGGAGTTCGAGACCAGTCTGGCCAACATGGTAAAACCCCATCTCTACTAAAAAATACAAAAATTAGCTGGACACAGTGGCACACTCCTGTAATCCCAGCTACTTGGGAGGCTGAGACAGAAGAATTGCTTGAACCCAGGAGGTGGAGGTTGCAGTGACCCGAGATCATGCCACTGTGCACCAGTCTGGGCTACAAAATGAGATTCTGTCTCAAAATAAAAAACTGATTACATCAGATCACGGAATAACTATAATAATATTTATTGGGCCAGATAGTATGCAAAGGACTCTATGCACATTATTTAGTGTAATCTATGTGACAATCCTCTGAGATATGTGTTACTATTATTCCAATTTAAACACGAGGAAACAGGTTCAAGGAAGGTAAGTTATGTGCTGAGGGACACACAAGAGGGGGTGGAGCTGGATTTCAAGCCCACTGGGTGTGCAGAACTGAGCCTCTTCACCATGGGGGCAAATCCCTCCTGAGGACAGGGCTGGAAAGGCCATGGAGATCATCTTGTGCTTGGACAAGCCTCTCACCAGTCACCACAGGGCCCTGACTCCCATTCCTACCTTCAAGAAGCTCAGCAGGCTACTACTCGTGTTCATGTTGGGTCACTACATACGGTTTTATTTGAAGGAAGGACCCCAGAGTTAAACTCATTTGAAAACCCCTGATAAATTCAGTCCCCTCCCTCTTTTTACAGGTGAGGCCCGGAGAGAAGATATGACTTGCTTAAGGTCACACACTTAGTTTCTCTGTCAATCTTTCTAAATCTAGGACGAGTTCTCTTCCCACTGTATCAGGCTGCCTCAACAAACAGGGAAGTACAAAAATAGCCAAATCCAGGAAGGAGGGCAGTGGTCTGTGTCTCCTCCAATTATTTCATGAGACAGCCAAGCCTATTTTCTTGATTTCCCTTGTGCCCCTCCTGTCGGATATCTGCTTTGGGACCCATCTCTTTTGGGCTTGCAGAGAGAACGGGCTGCACCAGCTCTCTACCCTCTGCATCACCCAGATGGTCAAACATGCAAAGGGAAAGGAGAGCTGGGGCCAGAGTCAAGGCAGGCAAAGAGACTCCTCGACCCCCTCCAGTCTTTCCACATTTATATTTTTGGAATTTCAGGCTCCCTCCTCCCCCGGGACCTTTCCTAGTAGCCCACCAGGGAGAAGAAGAGGGAAAACTGTCATAAATTTCTCCTATTTATACAAGATGACAGAGTTTCTTGTGCCAGAAAAAACACAGAAAGGGAGCTGTCAGGGGAGAAGGGACCCAGCCCTATACCTTCTGGGGTCAATTTATCTTTCCGAATCATGGCTTGGGGGCTACCCTAACATTGCTTGTATGAAATGCAGGCTTTGACTTGGGGCAGCCAGGCCAGACAGCCCCTGAGCTTTGTTTCTGATCACAGTTTTCCTGCTTCATCTCAACTTCCCCCTACCCCTTACGCTGTCTTTTTAAAAAACAACCTTCTTGAGGTATAATGCATGTGTCATACAATTCACCCTTTGAAATGTACAATTCAATGGTTTTAGTATATTCACAGGTATGCCAAACCATCACCATAGTTAATTTTAGAACATTTTCATCACCTCAAAAAGAAATCTTGTAACCTTTAGCTATCACCTCCCTATCCCCCCATATTCCTTCTTGCCCTTAACAATACTAATGTACTTTCAGTCTCTGTAGATTTTCCTATTCCGGACTTTCATATGAATGGCATCATATAATAAGAGACCTACTGTGACTAGCTTCTTTCATTGAGCATAGTGTTTTCAAGGTTCATCCATGTTGTGGCATTTATCAGTACTTCATTCCTTTTCAAGGCTGACTAATATTCCATTGTATGGATATATCACACTTTGTTTATCCGTTCATCTATTGGTGAACATTTGGGTTTTTTCCACCTTTTGGATATTATGATTCTCTCTTTCCTCTTATTCTCTAGACATCTTGGATAGTATCCAGTGAGGGCTGTGGGCAAGAATGGGTGTTTCTTATATTTGGGAACACCTAATATCCATGAAAGCAGGGTCTTGGCACATGTCTGCTTTCATATTAAGTACATGTACTAGCTGGAATTTTCCTCCCTCTGTTGTTACTGAGTTGGGGCTGCTCCCTCCTTTATCAATTCTCCCTTTTTATCATGATTGCTATGTTGGAAACTTGCTGACTCTTCAGACTAGGGGATTCAGATCCTTCTCTTGGGGCTTCAGAGACATGGAGTGGATGAATGAATGTCTTCCCATGAGGGAGGAGTTCCCTGAGTCTGGTCTCAAGTGATTATCCAGTGCCTCACAGTGGAAGGAAGGTCTGTGAAGACTCCAGGGTCGAGGGAAAGTTATGTTCTTGGAGGTATGACTGAGCCCAGAATCCAGGCCTCCAGTTTCCATCTCCTTGCCTGGCCCATTTCAGTCTTCAGACATGCTTTGAGGTCAATCCAGTCACTCACCCAGCAACAGACACTGCCTCTGCCCTCATGGACCTTGCAGTTCTAGTGGTGAGAGTAAGATGAATACAAGTGAGCAAAATGATGGCAAGTTGTTCAAGCTTGTTCAAACTTCTAAACACTGTTCAATGAATGAATGAACTAACAAGAACTTACTATGTGCTCTGGAAAGAAAATGTGAAAAATGTCGAGTTGTAAATCACTTTCTGCTACCACTACCTTTCCTAGTCTGGAAGTCAGCATTACTTCTCCATCCCTTGGAGGAGATAGTGGGCAGATATTACAAAATGTTAGCTAAAAAGAGCCACCATTTATTGGACCAGACATACACCAAGGGGTTTCTATAGTTCATTAATTTTCACCCTTTGAATTAGGCATCAATATTTCCATTTTGAAGATGAGAAAAACCGAAACTCAGGGTTTAAGTAGCTATCTGAAATCACACCCATAGCAGTAAGTGGCAGAACATTTGCTCTGGACACTGGGATAAGTATGTGTGTATGGGTTTCTTTGTTGTTTTTTGTTTCTGTTTTTGTTGTTGTTGTTGTTTATTTGTTTTTGGGATGGAGTTTTGCTCTTGTTGCCAAGGCTGGAGTGCAATGGCATGATTTCAGCTCAATGCAACCTCCACCTCCTGGGTTGAAGTGATTCTCCTGCCTCAGCCTCCTGAGTAGCTGGGATTACAGGTGCCCACCACCACTCCTGCTAATTTTTGTATTTTTAGCAGAGACGGGGTTTCGCCATGTTGGCCAGGCTGGTCCCAAACTCTTGACCTTGTGATCCGCCCGCCCCGACCTCCCAAAGTGCTGGGATTACAGGCGTGAGCCACTGCACCCGGCCATGTATGTGTTTTTATGCCTAGCACTTCATAACAAATGCCAACATCTCTTCCTGCGGCCCTACCACAGAGGGAGCTGATCAGTTTCCCCTCCTGCCCAAAGGCAAAGCAGCCACAGTGGAAGTGCCTGAGTCCTCCCTCACAGCCTTCTGTCTAGTGGTTATTCCTGCTTCAAGGCTAAGGAAGGGAAGGACCGGTTTTGCCTTCAAAGGCTTTTTCCTTCTAGCCCTTGCTGTGCAGCCCGTTGTGTGTGGGAGGAACCATGAGAGGCCTGGATATTGTCAACAAAAGACTTGAACAAGCCAAAGAGCTGATTATGTTGTCAAGAAGGGGACCTTTCTTACATGATCTTGATGACAAATAATAAAAATTATAAACACATTACAGTTTTCACATGCATTTGTTCACTTCTCACAGCAAATATGAGAGGTATCTAAGGCTGAGCAGCTTATTACAGAAAAAAGCTTATGGGACTAGAACCTTAATTTTATGTAACAAAATTTATATAGAGCTTACCATGGATCATGTACTCTCCTAAATAGTTCAAAACTTTCATTTTTAGAGAGATGGGTGTCTTGCAGCCAGGCGCAGTGGCTCACACCTGTAATCCCAGCACTTTGGGACGCCGAGGTGGACAGATCACCTGAGGTCAGGAGTTCGAGACCAGCCTGACCAACATGGTGAAACCCCATCTCTACTAAAAATGCAAAACACAAAAATTAGCTGGGTGTGGTGGTTCATCCCTGGAATCTGGAGACTGAGGCAACAGAATCACTTGAATCCAGGAGGTGGAGGTTGCAGTGAGCTGAGATCATGCCATTGCACTCCAGCCTGGGCAACAAGAGTGAAACTCCATCTCAAAATAAAAAGGGGGGGAGCAGTCTTGCTATGTTACCCAGGCTGGTCTTGAACTCCTGGGTTCAAGCAATCCTTCCACCTCAGCCTTCTGAATAGCAGGACTATAGGCCCATGCCACCAGGCCTGGCTGTATCTCATAACTATTAACTCATCTACTTTTTCACCACCATGTGAAGTAGGCATTACTGTTATTCACATTTTTTAAGATGCAGAAACTGAGGCATGGTAATCAAGTATCTTACCCAAGGTTGTACAGCCAGCAGGTGGTAGAACAGGGATCTTGAGCCCAGCCCCAGCATCTGTAACCACTTCGCAAGGTGGGCATCGCATGGGGACTACACTTGAAACTCTAGTTTGTTAGTCTGGTGCCCCTGCTTCCGCCTGCCTCCCTCAGTCTTTATGGCCCATTGGAAAAAGTAAGCCAGAGCTGTGGCTCCCAGGGTGATGATCCTTCAGCTGCATCCTTGGCACTGTCATTCCCTCCTCCCATCTCCCACCAAGGGAGAATACCACAGACGGTTTGCCATGGATCAAGATTTCTCTCAAGAAAGAGCTCACAGAAAGGCTGCTGTGAGAAAGGAAGTCACTTGCTACTCCCCTTATTCCTCCATCAGGAGGAGCTAGATGAGGTCACTGCACATTTGAGTGGGTGCTATCAAAGCACAGCCTCTGGCCAGTGTGGAGACAAACGTGGGCTGTGTGGCCCGTGACTGAGTGGCTGAAAGGAAACCTGAGGTGGTAGGTGATGGAACTGATTGAAATAAAACTTCTGTAGGAATGCTGCATGCCATTCATTCAACAGTGCTCCCTGACCAGGTCCCAGGGCTGTGCATATGAGCTGCAAATGGGTTTGTTCATTCATTTACATATCTGTTTGCTTATTTATTCAATAAATTCTGATTATGCCCCTAAGAGGCACTGTGCTAGATATCAAGGAAGAACAAGACAAAATACCTTCCCCACAAGGGCTCCCGGTCTAGAGAGGGGAGGAGGAAGGGAGATCCACAGTGATTTGTATCATATGTTGAGGAAAGAGAGTCATTTACTATCACCGTTTGGCATCCTCACCCCCAGTGCGGTCCTTCTCTTTGTCTCTCCATGCTGGGAGTGGGCAGTCCCTGCTATGCTGCCCTTCAGACACAGCCCTCTTCCCTCAAGCTGCCCTCTGCCTGGATCCCACCTTCCTTGTGAGCTGGAGTATTTGCTTGAGGGAGTCTTGACTCTCCTTCCCTGTCAGTCACTGTTTGGCTGCAGGCAGTGACAGTGGTGGCAATAAAGCAGCAGAGAGGAGGCTTTGGTATCCGAGCAGGGACTCACGGGTGGGATGGGATGGGGATGGTTTTATGTTTGCCCCACTGTGTTCTCTGTGCTGCTCTGCCCAGGGAGGCTGACCTCTTCAGACTGTGTCACATGGGCCCCCTGATCTCTCGGCCAATAGAGTTCCCGGCTGAGAAGGGGGAGAGAGGAGTCAGGGTATTTGTTTCCTCCATTCCCTGTCAGCCCCCTTTTTTGCCTGCTTGCAGCTCTGATGGTGGTTGTGTTTCCTCCTTGGTCACAGCTTTGCTGAGTGGCCTCTCTCCTGTGTCCCGTGAGCCCAGTTGGCATTGGGCTTTGGTAGAGATATTTCTATCCTGGTGCCACACTAGCACCAGGATTAGTTTTCTTCATCTGGTCTATGCCTTTAGAAACTGCCACATCACTAAACCCTTCAGTGAAACCCTCTCGAATGTGTCATTTATTTTCTGTTGCCACCCTGACTGGCTCACCTGGGTGCAGAGGAGGTGGGGACAGAGCAGGTTGGGGCTCCAGTTCAGCTTTGTTATCCCTCTTTTTCAGGGTTTCCCAGAGGAAGAGAGAGAATTTGGACAAATGAATGAGGAACAATGCTCTCCTGAGAGTTTCTTTAAGGGGCGAGAGTCACTGCCACTAGCTCCTTTGAAAGCAGAATTAAGAGGCAGTGCAGGAAGGCACAGCAGGAAGGCTCATGGTTAGACTACAGAGAAGGAAACAGCCACTGCTGGGGACCTACCCTGTGCTGGTCACTGACAAGCTGCCTCATTAAACCTTCCCAGACCCTCAACCCCTCCTAGTATCTTATCCTCATTTTACAGATGAGAAGACTGTGGCCCAGAGAGGTAAAGATCTGGGGAGCAGGATGGGAGCTTCACTTTTTCTCAGTTGCTCTGGCAAAGAGAAGCCTCACCTTGTGATCAAGGGATTGGGAGGGTGACAGATAAATTTTGGCTTAAGTGTCAGCATAGCACTGGGAATCTGGAGATAGATGGCACTGGATTGACTCCTTGGATCTGCCTCTTACTGGCTGTGTGATACTGGGCATGCCTCTGTTTCCCCATCTATAAAAATGGGGCTAATGATAATAACACCTGCCTTACAGGTTGTGTAGAAGGTTGAATTTGTAGTTGTGAGGTGCCCAGGAACAGTGCTGGCACACAGTGAGCGCCATACACAAGTGTTAAAGAATGGAGCCTCCTGCTCTCTCCTTATTTTCCACCTCCTGCCCTCTTCTCATTGCCCACCTCCCCTGCCTTCTCCTTACCATCCTGAAAAAGGGTGAACAGCCACCCAGGAGCACCTGAATGGGCATGTTTGTCCCAGGCCCTTTGTGAGCATGCTTTTCCCTGCCCTGCCCCCTGTCATCACCATTCTGGATGGAGCAGCAAGGACGGAGACACTTAGTTGGGCTGTCCACTCCAGGTCCAATGCCAGTGGGATCAGCTTTGATGGGATGCACACAGACTGACCTCTTCTCCCCAGCCCCTTCAACTTCCCAGAGCTGCAGGGGGCCTGGGAGTTCTTGGTAACAGCACATTAAACCTCTGTTTGTGGGAACTTTAATTTAAACACAAATTAGAGATGGCAAATGACTCTGGCAGCCAGATAAGCCATCCCGGGAGAGCAAGGAGAAAGCCAAGAGAATCAGCCCAGATAAGGCCTGACTTTAAACTACTGGTGATACCCAGAAGCCTGGGACAGATGAAATCTAGGGGTCCTGAATGAAGAACCCCAGAAGCTCCACACCCCAGTTGTCCTTGCTCTGGGCTCTATGCCAGCTCCCTCTCCTGTGTTCTCTATATTTCTATCTTTTTGCAAAATTCTAACCTGATTCTTTGGCTCCATCCCTCCCACCCCCACCCCACTGTTTTAGAGAATGCACTTTCTTTACTTTGCTTCTCATCTTCTTCTGTGACCTACTATTCTGAGAAAGTTCTACTTGTTACCTAACCTCCATCTATGCTACTACCTTTAGAGTCTAATACATCCTGCTTAGTGGTAGTTCTGGGAGTTTCTGTTCATGTGGCAAATGTGGTGTAGTAAAAACAACCTGAAAAAGACCTGGGTGAACTTCTCTGCATCTCAGTTTCCTCATCTGTATGATGAGTGTGTGAGAAAGAATCTCTAAGGACTTGTAAACTCTGACTTCTCACAGAGAATCTGAGGACAAGGACATCCCAGGAAATCTCTATTGTTCTGGAACCCATGAATTTTCCACTGTTCTACTGTTTGGGAGTGAGCGTGGGGAGAGCAGTCAAGCCTGTTGATTCCTTTCTGGGAAGGGTCTACAGGCTTTGCTTCCATCCCTCCGCCCACAACCCAGGCTTAGGCCAGGCCCAGGCCCAGGAGAGAGGATGCCTTTCCAGTTCTGTCAAGGCCTGCTGAGCCCAGCTCTGTGGGGCTGTGGCTGCTAAGATGTTGTCTCCATCCTCTGGGGTAGGAGCAACATATGTTCCCTCTGTCACAGCACCTGTGAGGGTGGCAGAGGGATGGCAACCCCCAAGAGGGCAGAGTTCCATCTCTCCAACTGACTTTGAAGCATCTTTTTATCCTGCTTTTCTGGGAGGCTTAAAGTGAAGGCGGAGGGAGATATCACACAGTCCCAAAGCCCCCACTAAATGGGGAGCTACTGTCTTTCATCTTTCATGCAGGGTAAAAGAAGACACCTTGGCTACAGCAAGAGGAAAGAAGGTCAAACCACAGGCAGAACTTTCAGGTTGAATGTTAGAGCAGACTGTGATCCCAAGAGATCATCCAAGACCCTTGGTCTCAGAGGATGCCTATGAGGCCCTGGTCCCTGGCTGGGGTGGGAACAATAATCTCAACAGCCCCATGCTAGACTGACTTGGGAGTCAGAAGGTCCCTGGGACTAGAATAGAAGGACTTTGGCATTTTCCCTGGCCTAGGGCCCTTAGACAGAAGTGGGCAGCTGCCATCAGGAGCCTGGGGCCCAGCTGTGTCCACCCCTTGCCCGCCTCCCCCCTCCTGAGTGCCTGGCTGCCCCTGGAGCCCCAGGCTTGCCTGCCATCTGGGCAGCTCAGAGGAGAGCCCACTGCCAAGGGAGTGCCAGCGTTGATTTATGGTCCACAACCTTGGCAGGCTCAGGCTGTGTGCCCGAACTGCCTTTGCTCAGGGAAGAGATGCTCCTCTTAAAGGGACAGTGCAGAGGAATGCAGGAAAGTCCAGGACGAAAGCTTGGCAGGGGGCTGGCAAAAAAGACCTCCACCCATCAGCACTCTGGGTGACTGTCACTCCCTAGGGAAACTTCTCCCTAGGGAACCACCCATCATACCTGTTATCATACCCTATCCTTTGTAGACTTGGCCCAACTGTAACATATTAATATGTTTACTGTCAGTCTCTCCCACTGGACTGTAATCTCTAGGAGGGTAGGAACCAGACCCATTGTGCTCATTCCTGAATATTCAGCACCAAACACAGTGCCTGGTGCCTAATAAGATCTCAGTAAGAATTTGTCAAGTGTAGGAAAGAATGAATAAATGAAGGTCCTTGTCCATGAGGTGGAGGGAAGCCCACGTGTCTTCTTAGTGCCTGCCATGGTTTCCGAGACCCTGCGGCATCTGCTGCTACCCCCAGGATCTCTCCCTCCAGGACCCTTCCTCACCCCTGTCATATCAACCCAGGACCAATGGGGCCAATCTTATCTGGATACCCTTGCTTTCCCACTTTTCTTGAGTCACCTTTCTTAAGTCCTTCACACAATGTTCTTTTCCTCCCATTTTCCTTCCTCCAAGATACTTTCTCAGATTACCTACAGCCTCAGTCCTGGATTCAGATACTCTTTCAGATAATCTTTTATTTTTTTATTTTTATTTTTATTTTTTATTTTTCTTGAGACAGAGGCTCCCTCTGTCACCCAGGTGGAAGTGCAGTGGCAGTCTTGGATCACTGCCACCTGTGTCTCCCAGGTTCAAGTGATTCTCCTGCCTCAGCCTCCAGAGTAGCTGGGATTACAGGCTTGTGCCACCATGCCCAGCTAATTTTTGTATTTTTAGTAGAGACGAGGTTTCATCACATTGGCCAGGTTGGTCTCGAACTCCTGACCTCAAATGATCTGCCCCCCTCAGCCTCCCAAAGTGGTGGGATTACAGGCATGAGCCACTGTGACTGGCCTATCCAGCAATATTTACTGAGTATCTACTATGCACTGGGCACAGGTTGCCAAGAATTCATGAATAAATGGAAAAGGCATAATCCCTGAACTCAAGGACCATACATTTCAGAGAGTGAAACAGACAAAAAAATAAGTAAGCAAGTTAGCAAATAGATACATGCAATTTTGAGACCTTTTGTGAAGTGGGTAATCACAGACAGGGTGGAGCAGGGACCCTTTAAATTGGGTGGTCAGCTAGGCATGGTGGCTCACGCCTGTAATCCCAGCACTTTGGAAGGCTGGGGCGGGCGGATCACCTGAAGTCAGGAGTTTGAGACCAGCCTCACCAACATGGAGAAACCCTGTCTCTACTAAAAATACAAAAATTAGCCAGACGTGGTGGCGCATGCCTATAATCCCAGCTACTTGGGAGGCTGAGGCAGGAGAATCGCTTGAACCCGGGAGGCGGAGATTGCCATGAGCTGAGATCGTGCCATTGCACTCCAGCCTGGGCAATAAGAGCAAAACTCCGTCTCAAAAAAACAAAATAAATAAAATAAAATAAAATAAAATAAAATAAAATAAATTGGGTGGTCAGAGAAAGTTTCTCTGAGGAAGTGACACTTGGGCTGAGGTTTGAAGAATGAGAGGGAGCCATGTAAAGAGTGAGGTAAAAGCATTCTAGAAACAGTTCAGTCACCTGGGTGTGCACAGCAGCATTTGGGGGATGGGAGTGGGAGAGGAGATTTCCCAAACTGCACTCTCCTATCTCTTTTACATTTTGAAAGCACCTGCCCTTCTAATGTGGGAGGACCACTGCTTAAAATCTTTGGAGAAGCAGCCCTGGCCTTACCTGGAAGCTGGTTAGAAAACAGAGCTCAGGTGCCACACCAGATCTACTGAGTCAGAATCTGCATTTTAACCAGGTCCCAGGTCATTTGTATGCACAGTGGTGTTTGAGAAGCAGTGTTTCAGGAAATACCTCACAGGAGGGATGGAGTGTGAAGACATCAGATGATGTGAGGTGGGTGGGGTTGGGGGGTTGGTTGCTGAAGAGTGGATTTGAATCAGAGATGGGGGTCTGAGTGTGTATATGTGCCTCTGTGTGTGTGTTCCTCCAGCCCTAATGACTGTGGGCTATATGAGGATGTGCATCTCCAAGCGCTTTTCCTTCCATGGGTGTGGAGTACCAGGGGATACTGTACATCTTTATCCCACTGTGACAATGCCCCCACTTCCACCTACAGCTGTGAGTCAAACAGAATCTGCCAACCTCTGGGCGGTGGGAGCATCTCGGAAGCAAGGCAAGGCAAGGAGATCCCTTGTTCCTGACCTCCGGCAATCCATTTATTTGACCCGAGTCTCATAAAGGCGTCCTGATGAGCCCAATCGCTTGCTAATGGTTATGAGCCAAGACCTGGGGATTTATGTCTGAGGCCTTCGTGGCCACGAACAGGAGTAGGGCTGCGCAAAGGAGGCCAGGCTGTGCATGGCTTCAGTTCATGGAGACCTGTACCCAGAACCACCACGGAGACTACCACACCCCCACCTCCAAATCTGGGGCAAAGAACATTGCCCTGGGTGGGGGAAGCTGGGCTAAGGAGAAAAAAGACCTCTGGCTGGAGATGTCCAGTGATGAAGGGTGAGTGTCTGGGAAACTGGCCTGACTTGGCTGGGTGGGGTGTAGGGGGAGATACTGGAGAAGTGAGTGGAAAGGGCACTGGAATTGGAGCCAGTCAAACTGGGGTTCAAATCCTGGATCTGTTTTCCACCCGTGTATGACACTGGACAAATCATGGCTCTCCCTGAGCCTCATTTTTCTCATCTGTAGATGGGAATTGTGACGCTATCTCATAGGTTTGTGAGAATTAAGTGAGGCCAGGTACGGTGGCTCATGCCTGTAATCTCAGCACTCTGGGAGGCCAAGGTAGGAGGATTTCTTGAGCCCAGGAGTTCAAGACCAGCCTGGGCAACATGCTGAAACCCTGTCTCTACAAAAATACAAAAATTAGCCAGGTGTGGTGGCATGTGCCTGAGGCTGATGTGAGAGCATTGCTTGAGCCCAGGAGCTTGAGACTGCAGTGGGCCATGATCATGTCACTGCACTCCAGCCTGGGTGACACAGTGAGATCCTATCGAGAGAGAGAGAATTAAATGAGATAATGTTTGTGAAAAGCACTTCGAATACCAATTGTATATATTTAAGTGGGTCAAGAGATTGGGATTCTAATTCCAACTCCACCACTAACTTTCTGGGATTCTAGCACTGGTTTTGTTACAAATGGCTTTTTTTTTTTTTCCGGAGACAGGGTCGCACTCTGTCGCCCAGACTGGAGTGCAGTGGTATGACCTCAGCTTGCTGCAACCTCTGCCTCCCAGGCTCAAGCAATTCCCCTGCCTCAGCCTCCTCAGTAACTGGGATTACAGGCATGCTCCACTACTGCCCGCTAATTTTTGTATTTTTAGTAGAGACAGGGTTTCGCCACTTTGGCCAGGCTGGTCTTGAACTCCTGACCTCAAATGATCCACCCGCCTTGGCCTCCCAAAGTGCTAGGATTTCAAGCGTGAGCCACCCCGCCCGCCCAGTTACCAATGGCTTTGTGACCTGGGGCACATCACAGACCCTTTCTAAGTCTTAGTTGCTCCACAGATACTAAGAGGGGACACAGTGCTCTTTTGGTTGCCTCCAGCTCTGATGTTTTGTGGTTCTAATGAGGAGTCCTTATTTGGAAATGGAACTTTGGAATGGTTTGGATCTCATTCTGGCCATAGAGAGGGCATCATTGCAACTGTGGCTTCAGGGCCAATGTGCGGTTAGGGGGGCTGAGTCAGAACAGCCCCCTCTTCCTCGATAGTGCCATCCTGTGAGTATAATCCCTGTGTGGGTGTTGGACACAGTGTTGGGGAAGACTGTGCAACAGGGGTAAGTAGGAAAGGCCCTGTGGTAGGGGGTTAGCTGGGTATCCATGGAAATGCCTGAACTACTCATGCCTTTTGCACAAGTAGGTCTTCAAATAATCTCTTCTGCTTCCCTCTTTCCCACTCTTTCCCTGTCTAAGGTGTGTGGTGGTGGTGGTGGTGGTGTGTGTGTGTGTGTGTGTCTAACCTGATTGGGAGAGTAAGCCAAATGGAGTGAAGTGGAGAAACATCCCCAAAAGTCCCAGGTAGAGACCTAAGGATTCCTAAATCACAGTGCAGAACAGGGTCCTCTACCCTTTTCCCATTCTGGGAACATCCTGAAGCCAGTCATTGTGGGAGAGAGACATGACCCCCAACCCAGCCTCACAGACCCCACCCCTCTTCCACGCTTTGCCCTACCCTCTTTCTTGTGCTTGTATCCTAACCTTAAGCCCTAGAGACTTCTAGGTACCCAGAGAGCAGCCTATTCAGTGATGTTTACTGAGCACATGTTATGTGCCTTGCACTGGGCCTGGAGCAAGGGCTAAGGAGTGAAATTAGACCTGATCCCTGTCCTGAAGATGTCACAGCTGAGTAGGCAGAAAGACTTTAAACAGATAATGGCAACACGATGTGCTAAGGAACATCAATGTACAAGATAACAGGTAGTCTGTATTTATGGGAGAGGGAGGCATAAAAGAAGATGCTTCAGCTGCTTTCTAAACATGTTTGTCGTGGAACATTGAAAACATACGAAAACAGAGCAGTATAGTGTCCTCATCATGCAACTGCAACAATGGTCACACCAGGATCTTGGTGTGTCTATACTCCCACCCACGTTCCATACCCCACTGCACCATTACTTGGGGTGGAACTGGGTTGGTTTTGAAAGAGGAACAGCAATTCCCCAAGTAGAAAGTGCTGGAGGGAAAAGTTTGCAGGCAGAGGGGATGCTGTGCTCAGAAGCTTGAGCAGTGCCTGATGCTAGTACATCAAACCGAAGCTGAAGGAGTGGGACAAGATGCTTTGGCCCCCGTGCATTCTGGCCCTAATGCATCTGTCACACAGCATGCCCTGTGGCTCCTTTTGGAACTCGGGTCTCCAGGCAAGTCTTCGGAAGAGCCAGGTTAGCGCAGAGCCAGCCCTTTGAGTGCAGGGAGTGAGGAGGCACCGCTAAGACGGCGGGCCTTGGCTGGGCGTCCGCGGGGCTTTGGTGGGCCTAGAGTGCTAGGGACTGGCACGCACCAGCACTGAGGGGCAAAGCGGGCGCAGTCAGGCCCTCCACCCCGCGTCGGCACGCGGTCTTAAATATCACCCCGGAGTTTTCAATTATCTCTCCTTAATGGATTTGCAGGGGCTCTTTCATCAAGCGCGGGGTGGCTGGGTGTGGGGGTGCGGGGAGCGCGCGGCGAGGGCTGGAGCTGGGAAAATGGCCCATATTTCAATATTAAAGCCCTTTACGATCGTCAGCAGCATGAAAGATGCTGCAAATTAAACGGAGCCGTCCGCGCCAGCCTTTCCATCTCGCAAGTTTTAATTAACCCTGAGGGGGAGGCGGCTGACGGGCGGGTCGGAGCCGGGCCAGCGGCGGATCTGGGAGCCTGCGGATCCCAGATTCCGAACTGGAGCGTCAGGGATCTCGCGGGCCAGGCCAGGCGGAGGCGGAGGGTGGTGGGCTCCGAGTCCCAGGCGA
This sequence comes from Homo sapiens, assembly GCF_000001405.40. Lineage (NCBI taxonomy): Eukaryota > Metazoa > Chordata > Mammalia > Primates > Hominidae > Homo > Homo sapiens. Next base: position 65,565,952 of record NC_000009.12, read on the forward strand.
GGGCGCAGAAGATGCCCGTGGAGATGGGCAAGGCTGAGGGGTGGGGGACAGGTTGGAAGGTCTCTGAGCATCTGACCGGGAAACAAAACTCTGCAACTGAATGCAGGACGCTTTGTTCTTAAAGGTGAGGGGGCTTGTGGCCAAATCATCTAGCTCTTCATCCCCAGGCTCCTTCAGCGCGCGTCCTTCTGCCTCTCTTCTTTGGACCAGCACTTCCCCCAAACGCTCCCCCGCGTTGATTCCCGGTCCCCTCCCACCTCATCCTGTGGCTCCTTGTTTCGGGAGGCAGTTGTGCTTCTGTGACCCCGCGGCTCCTGTTCTGGGACGTCTGCTTTCTCCATCACTCCCTGGCTTCCCAGGCGGGCCCCATCCTCCTGAGCAGAGCGGAGCAGCGCGCACAGAAGCGCCACTGTTCTGCCTTGGCAGGGCCTGGCCCGACAGCTTGTGCCTGCGCAGCAGACCCATCCGTCAGGCGGGAAGGATGGAGCGACGTCCGGCTGCCCGCTCTGAGGACTCCCCAGGGAGACACATCTGGCCTTGGCCCAGACTCCTCTCTTCCCTTCTCCCCACCCGCCAACCCTTCCCCCAACTACCAGCTCAGTATATACTTCTGTCTCTCCTGCTTTCCTTGCTTCTCCTCCTCCCTCCCATACGCATGCAGCCTGGGGCCTGGGGCCCAGGAGAGGCACTCCTCTCATGGGTCACACTGAGAAGTCCTTCGTCCACCTGCATCCACATGGCAGGGCATAACTCTAAAGCTTAAAAAGATCCAGCGATCTCAGTGGACCACAATCCACAGCTAAGTCAGCCAATCAACACTCAAGGGCTTAAATCAAGGACTTTGGGCAAACCCTATAGAGTGGAGGAATTAGAAAAATAATACAAATAAAAGACATGGTCATTATTCCTGGGTATTTACAGATACTTCTTTGTGCTTCCTGAAATGTTTTGCAGAAATCACATTCTCCTCTCATTGTGCTACACAGCTTGTAAGCACAAAGACAAGAAATTCTATGATAAAGCAAAAAGAAAAGAAAAGAAAAAACTCCTCTTCTACTTTCTTCTTGGTGTGTATTTTTTCTTGTCAATTTCTGATAATCTATCAAGCCTTCTTAAAATAGTGCCTGCTTATGCAGTATGGTTAGGATGATGAACACACTTAAACAGGATAGGGAATAAGTACAAACTACAAGTGCTGTGGGGATGCAGAGTAATAGGACAAGTGGTGAAAATTAAAACATTTTTGGCTTAATCAAGGAGTACTTCCTGGAAGAGGGGAGACCTGATTTGGAAGGAGAGGTGATATAAACTTGAAAAGAAAGTTCCAGATGTGGAAACACTGGTTTTATTCTTTATTTTTATTTTGAGACAGGATCGTACTCTGTCATCCAAGTTGGAGTGCAGTGGCACGATCTTGGCTCACTGCACCCTCCACTTCCCGGGATCAAATGATCCTCTGCCTCAGCCTCCTGAGTAGCTGGGACTACAGGTGTGTGCCACCACACCCAGCTAATTTTTTTGCTTTTTTTGTAGAGATGGGGTTTTGCCATATTGCTCCAGCTGGTCTTGAACTCCTGGACTCAGGCGATTCCCCTGCTGCCTTGGCCTTCTAAAATGCTGGGATTATAGGCATGAGCCACCACACCTGGCTAACACCGGTTCTAAAATTAGGCAGAATCTATATTTTACTTCAGGTTGAGAGCAGATAATCTTGGCTATATTTTCCCTGACAATACAGTAAGATGAAAGAAGCCTTGTGCAATAGCAGGAAGAATTCAGGGTAGACAGTGGGATCTTGGCTAATGCTGGAGACTAAAGTGAATGGAGAGAGACCCTGAAGCACCCTTCTCCCATACTTGGCTATGGGCTATGGGAGGGATGCCTGGACTCTGAGACTTGGCCACCATGTTGTGTTTTGCCATTAGAAGATTTGGACATGAAGTTGAATAAGGCAGGAACGACCTCACAGCATCAACCACAACCCCCAATGTGGCTGGAGAAGGAGGGAGAGAGGGCAAAGAATATCTTCCTCTTACTCAGATTGTAAGTGGAGAAACTGAAGTCCATTCACTCAAATCCATAAGTGTCTACTGAGCACCTCCTATGTGGCAAGCACTATATAGGCCCTAAGGATCCAGAGATGATCAGGGCATGGTCCCTGTCAACATGGTGCTCACAGTCTAGTGGGAAATAGAGTTCACTCATCATTCTACCATTTAATCAAGAACAAAAAGTATTGAGCACTTACTCTGAGCCAGGCAGAGTTGCAGGTGCTGGAGATGCAACTGTGAACAAGGCAGACCCAATCCCTGCCCCATCAGAGAGTACTACCTGGTGCAGAAGACACATACATAAACAGGCAGCTATAATTCAGGGTGATGTATGCTATGAAGGGGAAAGGACAGTTGCCATGGGATGGCATATCCATAGATATGCCATAGATCCATAGGTTCCCATGAGGAGATCTATCCGAGTCTGTGAAAGGGGATGTGAGGATGATGTGGAAGAAGCAACACCAAATCTGATCTGCTCACAAGGTGCGCAGAAGTCAAGTGTGGGATGGCATAGGGAGGGTGTCCTGGGCCTAGAGTTTGTGTTTCCAATACCAGCAGGGGAAAACAGATGATAATCCTAACAGAGCCAGACCAAGGAATGAGGTTATCAGTTTTCCTTTTTCTGCTGGGAAGTTTCTGCCTTGGGGCTAGGCTATGTAGGGGGAGGCTGGGAGGTGGGAGGGCACTGTGGAGGATCTTACTCTTTCCACCCTCCTCTCACTGATCCTAGTTTTGAACAAGAAACAGGTGATCTGTTTCTCTAGTTGCAGCTGAATAGAAACCAGGACAAGAAAGTGTTGTCCTCCCCAGACACGTTTCTGTCTCCTGGATCCTAAACAGCTGCCTACTTGAGCCATATGACTTCAATCCACAGGGCCTCCCAGGAGCTGAATCCAGAAGGGCAAGAACAAAGTAGCAAAGCAGGAAAGGGCATTCAGAAGAGAACAGCATGGGCAAAGGTCCCAAGGCCAGAGGACTTGGAAACTGCAAGTCCCTCAGTGTAGAGATGAGTCTGTAGAGGAGGTTGACACAAGCTTGTGAAAGACCCAGTATGCCAGGCTAAGGGGGTGGGAACAGTGAGGGACACTGAGGGTTTTATGGCTTAAATTTTGACAAGTGTATCTACATATAGACAACTAATGTAACACTCCTTTTTTTTTTTTTTTTTTTTTTAGAGAGAGATGGAGTCTCACTCTGTCGCCCAGGCTAGAGTGCAGTGGTGAGATCTTGGCTCACTGCAACCTGCGCTTCCTGGGTTCAAGTGATTCTCCTGCCTTAGCCTCCTGAGTAGCTGGGACTACAGACTGATCCCACCACATCTGGCTATTTTTTTGTATTTTTGGTGGAGACAGGGTTTCACCATGTTGGCCAGGCCGGTTTCGAACTCCTGAGCTCAAGTGATCCACCTGCCTCAGCCTCCCAAAGTGCTGGGATTACAAAGAACACTTTCTTTTTTTAACTTTTTTTTTTTTGAGACAGAGTCTTGCTTTATCATCCAGGTTGGAGTGAAGTGGCTCAGTCATAGCTCACTGCAGCCTTGACCTCCCGTACTCAAGCAATCCTTCTTCCTCAGCCTCCTGAGTTGCTGTCAATTTTTTTTTTTAAGAGACAGGGTCTCACTATGCAGGCTAGGCTAGTCTCAAACTTCAAGAGACCAAGGTGGGAGGATGGCTGGGCTCAAGAGATCCTCCTGCCTTGGCTTCTCAAAGTGCTGGGATTGTAGGCGTGAGTCACTGCCTGTCCATATAAAGTAACACTCTTGAACCCACTATCCAGACTTGAGGTTTTGTTAAGTTACTGTTAAAATTTTGTCAATTTTGCTCTTGAGTTTTCAAAATAAAGAGGTCATTACAGATAAAGTTGAAGTTCCCTTTGTCCCTTCCCCAGTACCATTCCCCTCCCTTTCAGAAGCACCACCATCATATATTTTTTCTATTTTTATCTTAGATATATATCCATGGATAACATTATAAGGCTTCAGTGCATTTTAAAAAGAGGTCCAATGGTTATGATATAATTTATAACTTTAGTTTTCCATCGCACATTTTTAAAAAAGTCTTTATTTGAGGTTTTCGGCAAAGTGCTGACAAGGGTAAAACTAGCGTAAGAAGATCATGCTGGTTACCAAGTGGAGTATTCCAGGTGACAGAGGAGGACCAAGGATGGTGACAGTGGGAAGGAGGAGACAGAGGTAAAAGGAGACTCCACATCACAGGTCACTGGTGATCGCCCTGTGAGGGCAGGGTTGTTTTATACATGCTGTTCTTCAGCACCATGAACAGGGCCTGGCTGTTGGAGATGCCCAGTAAATATCTGTTGACAGAGAAAGGTTGACAGGGGCAGATGGATCCAGGATGACTCCCAAATTCCTAACCCAGTGGAAAAGCCTGGATGATGATCCCAGTCTCCATTATGAGGGCCCCAGGAAGAGAAGCTGGATTGCAGGGAAAGATGAATCCAGAAGCCATCTCTCTGATCTAGAGGAAACGAGGCTGTGCTGTGTGGAAGGGATTAATGTTAGGAAGCAGACCAGACTTCCGTTCTTAGGACAGAAAAAAATCTTGTAGCGGGTAGTTCAAGGCTATAAAAGATCTGAAGGGACCCAGAGATGGTAAGAGTGGAAAGGTTCAGTCCTGCTGGGGGCAAAGGGATAGTTGAAAAACAAGCCAAAAACAATAATCACTTTCCTCAGAAGGCCAGGAGGGCAGGGCCCAGCTTCTCCATCAGCCACAATGAGTGTCTTATAGCCCTCTGTGCGGTGGGTACCCACAGCCCATTAGCCAAGGCAGAGGAGGAGGAGGAAGTTATAGTAAGTGCATCTAGGATCATAAAGACCTTGTCAGATGCCCACACTCAACTTTGCTCCCACTCCATATCCATCAACAAGATGGAAAAATGGGGTGCTCACAACTGCTTCTTAGGACTTATTCTTGACCAAATTCAATTTCTCTGTTCAGGGAAGGATGTGAAATATAACCTGCTTTCCAACTCTTAAAACCCAGAGCTCTGGCTCTTCACCTCAAAAAGCTACCTTCTGCAAGAGCTCCCTCAAAGTCACTGCCACCCCCACTTCCTCACCCCACCACCCCTGCCCCAGGCACAGCCACCACCCACCCTCTGCTGCTAATTCACCTATAAATGGTCTCCTGCCTTGCGTCTCCACTCAGTTTTGTTCTTTCTCTAACAGGTTCCACTCCCCTGAAAGCCCACCCGATCCTTCCTGTTACCCTAGCACTGACTTCCTAAATGAAGTGCAGTGGCTCACAGTTCTGTCCTTCTCTGTTTTTGTCACTTTTTCCACTCACAATTCTTTGGGTCCTGGCTATGGTTAAGTGGCATTTCTCTACTTCATCCCTGGGTGCAGGGACAGAAATGCTTTTACCATCCCCAGTGCCCTTCTCTGGGGGTAGCAGAGAAGTCACTTTAGTTTTGTTTGGTCTGGTGGAGTAAGGCATGCCCTTCTTTCAGAGAGGGAGCTGTCATGGATCTAAGCCAGTCCCTGTCCTAGGAGTACTTGCAATTTAGACTTGCTCTTTAGTCAAGGAATGTTAAATATTGTAAAGCAATGCCGTAGCTGGAGGGGGAGAATCTTGGAATCCCCTTTCCATGAGCCTGCTATTTGAAGGTGTGGTGGGATCCCTTGGAAGTGTGGGCCCCTTGTACTCTGGATCTAATCCCTAAGTCACCAAAGGGCCAACATAATGATTCTCAAACCAATCTGTGATTGGTCCCCTCATACCTTGAACTTGGGCAGGCTGCTAATTTTTATCAGAGCAATACACCCTGTAGATACCACCTCCCTGAACTCTAAACTGAGCAGAGCTCTAAACCATCAAAGAATCAGGCTATATAGACTTCCACCTTAAATGGGTGTAGATTCAACATGATTCCGAAAGTCACGTGACTTGCCTCACTAACCAGGGTTCTTCTTCAGTGGGGAAACTACTTGGGCCTTTTTCCTTCTCCTTTTCACCTACCTGAATTATTACATTTATTTATAATTAACATATATTGCATGTAATATTAAAAAAAATAAAACTTAGAAAGACTTGGTGGTAGGTGCTGCTGAATTAGGTATCAGAGCCCCAGTTAGGTGGGTGTCCTGTGGAGTTTCTGATGAATCAAAAGCCATTGTTGGGCACTTTAAAAGCATGGACGCCTTGAGCCCTGGGCAGCCCCAAGGCTGTGACTACCGAGGGCACCCACAGAGGATTAGAACTGGGGCACTGGAATGAGAGGACCATCAGAAGCAAGGCCTGGATGCTCAAATTCCCACCACAGTCATAAAACTTAAGAGCATCTAAGTCTCAAGCAGCTTTTAGTTTCTTTCTTAAGAATCCAACTAATCTTGTGTTCCACCTTGTAGCCTTCTATAAAGTGTGACCATTCACTTGGTTGATGATTAATGATTCAGCTAGTAATTACTAAACAGAAAGGAACCAGAAATAAGAATCACAAATTTACACAAAACATTTCATGTTCTTAATGCTAAACTTGAAGGTAAAACACTAGGAAGGTAGAAAACACAATGTTGCTATTTGTTTTGTTCTTTTAAAGAATGAAGAAGTCAGATTTCCTGGTCCTTGTGTAGGCTCTCTTCCTGACAGGGTTTCTCAAACTTTTCTGCCAAAGTCCCTAGTTATTAGAGGCAGGAGGGTAAACTTGGACCCCAGCAGTCTGGGGGATTGCCCTGAAGGGCCATTAGCAAGGACCAATTATTTCTTTCTTTTTTTTTTTAAAAAAAAAAAGACATGTTTACTTAAATAATAGGTTACTTCATCTTCATTATTTGCATTATATAAAAATAGGATTTTTTATTAATAAGAAAATAGCAGATTCTTTTGTGGCCTTAAGTTTTAGCTCTAAAATGATGCAAACTTTGCATTTTATAACGTAGTATATTTTATACAACTTAATATAAAAATGGTGTTTTAAACCATCTGCCATCAAAAAACCTCTGTGGCCCTCAGAGAGGCTTCTTATATATCCGGGGACACCCTCAGCGAGCAGCTACTGCAGTGTGGCCTGGGGCACTTGCACCCAGGTGAGAGGTGCTATGGGGTGTGGTGGTTTGTTAAACTAGCTGCCACTGTCCCAGGTTGTATCTTTAATGACTACCATTTAGTGAGCACTACTATGTGCCAGACTCTACGCCAAATGCTTTTATATGCTTATGCCATTTAAATTCTCACAACCACCTGCCTAAGGCCACACAGCTGTAAGGTGGCAGAGTGGGGATTCAAACACCTGTCTGCTTGGTTTCAAAGCCAACTGTGACCCCCTGCTGACTCTTAGAGGCCAAGGCTGAAGCCCCTGGCTGAGTGAGTGGTGGTGACCTGGGGAAAGGACTGTTGTGGTGCATCTGGAAAGAGTGTGGGGGGTGTTCCGAAGGTAGTGCCTTATCTCAATTGATTGTTCACAGTCAGTTACAGATCAAACTCCTTGTTCTGCTCCTTCCCCCTTCTCACTATTGCACTTGACCAGTCTTTTAAAAAAATACATACAATGCAGGTCTAATACGAGAAGGGTCAGAAAAGCTAGGCTTAGGTCTAGCTCTGCCTTTGACTAGCTATAGGTTCTTTAGGGAGGCCCTCAGCCCCATCTATAAATGGGACTATAAAGGTCTGTGAAAGGGGCAATGGAAAAAAGATGAATGTTGAGCCACATCTCAGGCTCCTTTCTTGCTCCACTGCTTATCAGCTGTGTCATCTTAGGCACATCACTATGACTCTAAGCCTGTTTCCTCACTTCTAAAATGTGAAGAACAATACCCACCTCACAGGGCTGCTGTGGGGATGAAAAATAATACACATGAAACACCTGGAACAGAGTTTACATATAGTAGTTGCACAATAAATGCTTCCCAATAGTAGTTATCCTTATAATAGTGGTATTAGCAATACTACTAAAGTATTATTATATAAAGTAGTATTAGCAAAGCTACTAAAGTATTCATATTTTAAAACTGTGATTATTAAAGTGAGAAAAATATATGAAAGGAATACTACAAATTAAGGTAATCCATTAAAAATAAGGAGCTGGAGGCTAGGCATGGTAGCCCACACCTGTAATCCCAGCACTTTGGGAGGCCAAGGTGGGTGGATTACCTGAGGTCAGGAGTTCGAGACCAGCCTGACCAACATGGAGCAACCCCGTCTCTACTAAAAACACAAAAAATTAGCCAGGTGTGGTGGCGGGTGCCTATAGTCCCAGCTACTCGGCAGGCTGAGGCAGGAGAATGGCATGAACCTGGGAGGCAGAGCTTGCAGTGAGTGGAGATTTTGTCACTGCACTCCAGCCTGGGCAACAGAGCGAGGCTCCATCTAAAAAAAAAAAAAAAAAAAAAAAAAACCAAAAAAGAGGAGCTGGAGGAGGCCCACCTTAATGTACGCTAAATAGTTCTTCTGGTTGAAGGCCTGGAGTTCCCTGCAATGGGTGGGGAAGGGGATTAGCCTGGGGAAATAATGCCTGGGTCAAGTTAGGGAAGATCCAGGTCCCTCTGCTGAGGGACAGTTTGGAGGACAGAGCCTGACCCTCCATGAAGAGAGACTCTCAAGGTCTCTTTTAGCTTTAACATTGGCTAAGTGTGATTCTATGTCTCAGCCAGTCTGCCCTAATTCCTCAGTGTGGGCAGGACATGAGAGACAACCCACCAGTATCTCAGTGAGTTTGTGTGGCACCCACCTTGGCAGTCACACACAGACACTTCCCAGAGTCTCAGTGATGACGATTCTCTCTAAGGGGAACCCAAGCCTTAACCAAAGACCACCTCTCCATCTTCCTGCTGGGGCCTTGCAGGTCAGCCTAGAGGGAGTTTTCCAGAGCAGGTGGCTTCCTGAGTGGCCAAGATCATGTGAGCAGGATAAGTTCTCTTCTCGCTGGGCCTTTCCTTCCTAAGCTGGTGTCCCAGGCACCTCTCTCTGTTTGGAAATCAGATTCTTTATGGTTTATTTTTGACACCAGATAATCGCTGCCCAAGTTTCATCAATTTGTCACTGTTTTTATTGTCAGCAATTGCCCATAACTGGAGCACGTTTAAAATGTCATTGATCTTGATATTACAGTGTCATAATCTGACAGTAATAGGTGTAGCCAGCACAGGAAGCCCAGGCCCTGAGATTGATGGCGCACAGCACACCAATTATATTCTGTCCATCTAAGTGATAAAAGAGTATGTAGGAGGCATTCAATAGATAAATTAGATATCACTCCCAATTATGTCCTTTATTTATGGAGTCATATGCTCCCCTTAGAACTTTTTTTCTTCATTTGGCTTGTAAAGGGGAATTACTTGACCCCCCTAAAGACTAGGACTGCCTCCCCTGCCTGTCCCAACTTGGGTTCTACCCTGATCCCTTCCGACAGGCTCATAGTCTTTCACCTGGGCTTTCTCTGGGACTCACCTAGGAGTTCCCCAGTGTGGTAGGTCCACAGGTGTAAAGGGAAGGAGGCAGAGGTGCTTCACCATTTGGGAAGGAGTTGGGTCAGGCCTTTGGGAAGGACTAGGAAGTCTGACAATGCCTTTAATGTGACACTGCCCAAATAAATGAGACCGGGAGAGGGGCTGGAAAATGGGTAAAAATCCTCCAGTCCAGACAACAGAGCCTTCAAATTAGGACAACTAGTAATTGGCTATGGCTGGGGAGGAAGAGGATGGTAAAAAGGTTTTCAGTCCTTAAGAAGTGAATTCATCCATCCCTCTACCTCCACTCCAGACTGGGTGGGGCCAATTCAAGCCCTTCCTCAGAAGAACTCCCAGAATCTTCTACATCCCCATTCTGATCCATATCAGATGACTTCCTCAGCTCAAGTCCTAGCTCTGCCACTGTGGTAGGGACATAATACCAGCTTTCCTGGGGGAGGCAGAGGGCTCCTGTTTGAGAAAAAGCCCCAAGAATGGTTCATTTCCAAGAAGAGAGCTCACCTGAGGCAGGGAAGTGCCTGGCCAAGGAATAGAGGTACAGTGAAGGCATAACTTTATTGGAGGCCTGGCTTATAAGCATCATAAACTCTGAGGACAGCCTTGACCTGGTCCAGACCCCTGTATCCCCATCCCCCAAAGCCAGCAGGAAACATGGCAGAGGCCGAGACACCAAGTAGTAAACAGTGATCTAGGTCCATTGATCGAGCTTTCAAAGAGAAAGTGTCCATGGGTTGGGCTGCTCTCCATTGCCCTGTTGCCATCTCAATGTTATAAATAATTCTGGCACTAAGTGCCCTGTCACACCGAGTGGAAGTAGTTCTTATAGAGTGAAACCTGAGAATATGGGTCATGGGAGGAGGGGTGACTGGGGGCAGGGGTAGAGATGGGGAGCGATCACCCCAAGGCTCCTCAACTACACCCCTAGGCTGGTGATAGATGAATTTCTGGAGCAGAGGATGGCATTTCAAATGAAATGGTTATAGGAAATGAGTGTGATTTAAACAACGTCTTGGCTGATAAGCACCAGCCAGCTGGGGGGAGATGGCAGGCTAGAAGTGGAGGAATCAAAAGCCCAGAGGCCCCCAGTGTTAAGTAGCTGTCTGAAGCTCCGCTCAAACACACACACCAGCTTTGGTCTCAACATGTTTTTAAGAGCTGGTTATGATTTCCTTGAGGGCGGCTCAGATTAAGACTAGAGTGGAGCCCCCAGCTAAGCACCTTCAATAACTGTCCATCACATCCTCTTTAGAAACAGCAGCCTCTTCCCCTTGGCTCAGGGACCCTGTAATTGGGGAGGGCTGTGAAGCTGCGTGGCTTGTCAGCCTGTTCCCAGGCAGCACGGGGCCTGTCTGTCCTTTGCCTGGGGTCCTGCCCTGGATCCCAGGAAAAGAGATTGAGCCCCACCCACAGAGAGCTCTCAGTCTTCAAGAAGAGACAAAACATGCAACCTAGAAAAGAAGAGAGGAAGCAAAGAGAGCAAAAGGATGGAAGCCAAGGAAGAGGAAACTGTCACCAAATCCAGAATTTGGGCCTTTCTCACCACATGCACTGCTGCCATCCTGGTCCAAGCCACACATTTCTCACTTGGATTAGTGCAATGACCTTTCAACAAGTCTCCCTGCATCTTCCCTTGGCCCCCTGTGATCTATTCTCAACACAAAAGACAAAAAGACTATTTAAAAACTGAAGTTCAGGCCAGGTGCAGTGGCTCACGACTATAATCCCAGCACTTTGGGAGGCCAAGGTGGGTGGATCACGAGGTCAGGAGTTCAAGACCAGCCTGGCCAAGATGGTGAAACCCCGTCTCTACTAAAACTACAAAAATTAGCTGGGCATGGTGGCAGGTGCCTGTAATCCCAGCTACTTGGGAGGCTGAGGCATAAGAATCACTTGAACCTGGGTGGCAGAAGTTGTAGTGAGTCAAGATTGTGCCACTGCACTCTAGCTTGGGTGACAGAGTGAGACTGTCTCTCAAAACAAAACAAGACCCTGAAGTCCAATCATGTCTTTCCTCTCTACTTCACTCCGAGTAAAAAGCAAAGTCCTTAAGTTGACTTACGAGGCCGAACATCGTCTGTTCCCTCCTTACCTCTCTGATGCCATCTCCTCCCACTCTTGCTCACTCCCACAGACTTGCCAGGCATGTTCCTGCCTCAGGGCCTTAGCACCAGCCACTCCCTCTACTGGAATACTCTTGCCAAGATGTCTATGGGGCTAACTTCCTCTCTCACCTCTAAGTCTTTGTTCAAATACCATATTCGCAGTGAGCTTTCCTTGACAACCATATTAAAAACCTCAGATTTCCCCTCCATGCTGATCCTTCTGTACGTGATCTATTCCTTTTCTGTAACAATTATCATTTTCTAATATATGATATAATTTACTTATTTAGTAAGAATATTGTTCATTATCTGTCTTTCTCTGCTAGAATGTAAACTCCACACAGGTGGGGGGTCTTTCTCTGTTTTGATCACCAATGTATTCTAAGAATTTGGAATAGTACTCAATAATAATTGCTTAGTGAGTAAATGCAAAGGATGAGGTTCACCAGGGGAGGGTTTGGAGAAGAGAACAGAGGGGAGGCCATCCCAGGCTTGGGATGAACTTGTGCCTTATCTCACAACAGGCCATGTGTGAGGATCTGAGAGTCCGAGTGTTGGGCACAAGTTCAAGAGTCGGGCTAGGACATCACCCAAAATGGAGAGATTCAGTTATCAAAGAGACTAGGCTGGATTTACCTCTGGAATCTGGTGGAGGACTTGGCTTTAGGTTGGGATTTTACCATCTTCATGACCAAAGCATACTTGGGGATAATAATGCCAAAGGGATGTGCAGGGCAAGAATGAGGTGGTTGGGAATGGAGGCAGACTGGGAATTCAGGTGGGGGAGGGTAGCTGAAAGAACAGGCATGTGTCTTCTAAGTCTGGAAAAAAGATTGAGGTGGAATTAGAGGGCCTGAAAGAAAATTGTGTATGCAAGTGGGAGGAAGAGCCTGGGTCACTGGAAGCTATCATCTCCAAGAGCATGTTCCATCTCCACTGAGGGCAGAATCAAAAGCCATGGGCTGCACCTAAAGTCAAAGGAACTAGAGTGAGACATCAAGAAAGGCCTCCCAACAATGTGACAGGTGGTGGAGGGGAAGCACTGGGCCTTTTTCTCTGGAAAACTTGAGCAGGACCTAACTGGGTACATACCTGAGCCAGGCTAACCCAGTGGGCACTGTGAGGCTCTGGGGTGGGAGTGTGGTACTAGAGCCCCGAAGAGGGTTCCTGCCTCTGCCTGGCTCCCAACTCCATCCTCTCACCTGCGAGGCTTCTGAGCTTCTAAGCACGCAGAAATGTCCTCTCTCCTGACCTCAAGTTTCTGCATCTTTTCAGAGTGGAAACTGAGAGTATTTAGTATTCCAAGGCCCCACCAGTCCAGGGGCCAAAACATGTTTACCACATCTCCTCAGAATATCAGTGCTCAACTCGGTTTTGTGGTGGCCTCAGGGTACGAGCCAGGAGAAGCAGAAAATACCTTTGGAGGTTATACAATTCAGTGGTTACTGCAGTTCTAATGGAGTGAGGACATGGGTGGCCTGGGAGTTCTGAGGTTCTGGGGAGACTTACTTGTCACTGTATAACTTTTGGTGCCTTTTGAGTTTTGAACCATGTACGTGTATTTCTTATTCAAAAAACATAAAACAATTAAAATCAGATGAAAGCAACAACAATAACAACAAAGAATAGGTCTAGGGAAGTGGGAACTTGATGCCTCCAATTGCTACCCTGAAGGCAATGACCTGCCTCCTATTGCCCATGTGTACCCTCCTCCACGTCTGGCATCTCCATTCTCTAGAGGCTCAGAGAGGGGTGTGGAAGGCCTGATGTCACCCAGCATTTAAGATTAGCAAAATTCTGGGGCTTAGCTGTCCAGACTCTCAGTGTTGTCTTTCTTTTCTGATCCTCAATGACCCCGTCTACTCATTGACCTGTCCATGTTTTTGGCAGAACTTTGCATATGCTACAAATCAACCTTCAATGGGTCGTTTTTAAAACTGTGTGGTCTTAAATGCCACCTTTCCCAGGAAGTAATCTCTTTTCACAAAGAGAAAGAGATGACAGCTCTCCTCTCCCCCAGTGTGGTGTCTGATGTTTCATTCCCTCCCTTCCTGCCTCCCTCCTCCCTACCACCCTCTACCACTAAAGTGGCTCTCCACTGAAACTTGGCCCTGTCTCTGATGAGATATGTGACTTTGAGCAAGTCATTTAACCTTTCTGTGTGTCTGTTTCTTCATCTGCAATTGAGGATCCTGACCTTCCTCCCATGGCTCTTCACTTATGCATTTGTACAGCAAGCATGTATTCTGTGCCTGGTGCTGAACCTGGCACTGAGGATCACACAAGACAATGTATGTGAAGTTAATACAGAGACAGAAAGTTACTGCCAAGGCCTCCTTCCTTGGATGCTGTTCTGGGCTGGGTGCTCCAACCCCCTCATCTGGCATGCCCTTGGAGGAACTGCTTCACAGTCTACTCCAAACCTCTCAACTTCTAGCATTGCTCCTGGGCTGAAGCCGATATCCTGCTCTGCATGAAGGGTCAGGGGGTGCAGAAATAGCCTATTTCCCAGGCTTTTTCATTTGGTTAGATCCTTAGGTATCACTTTGCCTACAAGAAGGAATAATGTTGAAATCTGTCTGTTGGTCTTTAGTCTGGAATTTTCAGTGTCCACCTCTCTTGCCCTCTGTGGGCCTTTCCCTGGGACTTGGGCTGGAACAAGGGGTAGGAAATGGATTCTATCCATGTCCTCACTCTGCTCATTTCTCTCCTTTCCTGAATCCCATGCATCCATGGAGATTGGTACAGTGGCTAAGATTCTGGGATTGGAAACTCACATTTGTCTCCCTCCAAATGTAAGCTGGCTGTGGAGGAAAGATGGTCCCTTCTTTAAAATGAACACCACCATCTCAGAGTATACAGTAGCTTGCTTCAGGCAGAGGAGGCAGAGCTGCCTTCCAGAGCTCTTGGCAGGAAGCTGTCCCCACTCCCTGCCTGACCACCGAGGATTGGGTGAGCATCACTGGGAGGGAGCGGTGTTTATAGAAAAAACGTGCTGCTTCAGCCCTGGTCATTGCTGATGGACCATGGCAGCAAGGAAGGTCAAGTCCAGACTAAGGAGGTACTTCTCATTATCAGGGACTGGGTTTAAGGTGAGAGGTTGTTTGGAACTACTCAGACACGGTCTTCCCAGAGCAAGGAGGAAGGGTGAGATGATCTGGGAGTTGTGAAGGACTCAGGGGTTCCATGATGTTGCAGAGCTGGCAGTGACTGGGAGGATGCCAGGGAGATGTCAGTTCACCCATGTCTAGAGCAGAAACCCCATGGTCAGAGACCAGGTATCTGCAACCCCAACATTCCCAGCATAATGCCTCGCACAAGGCTAACTGGAGACTGAGGAAGACAAGTCCTTCCCTGGAAGATGGTGCCAACACTGTGCTCACAGAAGGACAGCTACTTTAAAGCCCCAGCAAGAAAATGATCTCACACTGTGGGACCTGGAAGTACTTCTTCATGTCCAGCCTCAATCCTCCTTACCACAGCTCAATTGGATCTCAGTCCAACCTGTGGGATTTGTCCATGCCCAGAGGTGAAACCCAGCAAGGAATATGGACTTTGCTTTTAGGCCTACGCTGTTGGCTGTGGGAGATAGAACAAGTTGGCCAAACTGTCGAGTACCTGTCTCCACACCTGGGGAGTCCCCAGGAAAGTGGAGAGGGAAGATCTTCCAGGGAACGGCCACCCTCCATGAGGAGATAAGCAGAACAGCAGAGGGCAAGGAAGGTTCAGTGGCCAGGAGAGGTGGGGCTCAGGGAGTCCCTCCTGGCTGGGGGTGAGGGAGCTTCCTGGATGCTCAGCCTCTCCAAGCCCCTGAGGAAAGACTGTAGCTTCTGGAGGGCAGGAGCTGATCCTGCATCATCTCGGCAGACCAGTGCCCAGCACACAGCAGATGCTCAAAACACATGGGTCGAATGAATGAGCCTGCGGTCAAGAGCCTGCCCAGCCAGCAGGTGGAGTGGGTCTTTGGAGAAGGGATTCCCCTCTCTGGGCCTCCATTTCTTCATTTGTAGAATGAGGGGCTGCAGTAGATTGTCTCTAAGGTTTTGTCAGCCCCTGACGATCTGTGGTTTCCTGTTTCCCTGCTCTCTCGTCAATTCCTTGCCAATTCTCTTTCCCTCTACAGCTTCTCTTTTCCTTTCCCTTTAAGTCTTTTTCTTCCACTAACCCCCAATCTCTGCACCCCCGTTTTCAGTCTCTCCCCTCCCCAGACAATTTCTCTGGCTTTCCCCTTTACAGGTATTTCTTCCTCTCTGCTTCTGATAACTGCCCCCATCACTATCCTTCCCTGATGCCTTCAGTGTTCTGCACCCCCTGCCCCCCAAAAGCCGCCCATTCTAGTGCCCCTTTCATCCACCTTAGATCCCAGAGGCGGGAGATTGGAAGAAAAGGAGGAGGGTCCTAAAGCAGCCACTCCCCTGCCCCTGCAATGGCCCCACCGCGATGTCCCCGTCCCCCCGCCCCGCCCCCCTCCCCACCACGCCTCTCCCTCAGCAGCCAGTGCCGCACTGAGCCCTCGCCCCACGCTAATGCGATCTGGAGAGACCCTGTCGGTGCGGGCGGCGGGCAGTCTGGCCCAGCGTCCAGGGCGGCGCTGATGGATGGTCCCCTGACAGTAATCGCAGAATGAGGACGCGCAGGTGACGCTCTTGCCCGAGGCCCTGCTGTTTGGCTAGCCCAGGAGTCTCTCCCTCCGCAGCGTCTGCCTTCTGGGCGCTCTCAACTCACTCGGCTTTGCGGGAGGCGCAAAGCCTCAGGTTAGGGCAGAGGTGCGGGCTTCCTCTGCTCTCACTCTCCCAAGACACTGGTTTCTGTTTGGGAACAGATCCCTTCTTGGATCCACGCTGCTTCTGTGATTCTGAACAAGCCACCCATCTCCTGGAGTCTCAGTTCTCCCTTCTGTATAATGGCCTTTAAAGCCTGGTGGAGTGTTGGGGGCACGGGAGATAATACTGAGGAAAATCACGCTCTCTCTTAAGTAGAAACCGAATTTCACTTTTAGTTTACAATGCTCAGAATAATCTGGGCCAAATGTGCAAAGCCAAGTAAGAGCTGAGTGGCTACTCACACACAGAATATATGTTTATACACATACACATAATGTTTTTAGCATACCAGGACTGCTTAGACGTCTTTAAAGAGAACACTAGCCCAGGTCCTTCTCCAGGGAGGCGACTGTCTCCAGCAGGACTTTTTCTCCCCTCTACTGAGGCCACCTACCTGTCTTAAGCCCCCAGACCCCATCCGTTCTGGGGTTCCCCTGCAATCCAGAGCCAGGCTGAGGTGGTATGCGGGAAGATCTCCCTTTGGAAAATGTTTCTGGATAATTTCCCAACTCCTTGACCATGTTCTCCCCACCTCACCCACATTCAGATAACACAGGTTCTAAGGCTCCTTCACTCCTCCACCCCTGGGGGATACTCCTTGGGCCTGGCCCTGTGGAGGGGCTGGGAGGTGGGATCCAGAACCAATTGCAATTCTGAACGCACACCCAGCCGCCTCCTCACTCCCTTTTAACCTTTCCCTCTAGTCAGAAGCCAAATTGAGATAGTCTTGAGTTTTGATTTAATTCCTGAAATGGAGTCATAATCTGCTTAGTGTCCTTTCTCCCGAGTCCTAGATACTGAAGTGTGTGTGTCTGTCAGGGGGAGTTAAAAGAGCAGCTCTGTGACCTTTGGAGGACCCTCACACTCACTCACCTCCCAAACACCACCAAAGAGCAGGAGACGCCATGGCACTGAGTTGCTGGGTAGTATGATGATGGTACTGACAACTCACATTTACTAGGCACTTACCACATGCCAGTACTGAGACAGGCACTATACACGCATTTCTCACTTAATTCTCACAACTACCTTTCAGGTAGGTACCATTCATATCCCCAACTTACAGATGAAGAAACTGAGGCTTAGCGAGGTTAAGCAGTTTATGTTCCATCCTGCAGTGATCACAGACGGTCCTCGACTTATGATGCTTTGACTTACAATTTCTCAGCTTTATGATGATGCCGAAGTGATATGCATTCATTAGATACTGTACTTCTAATACTCATACAACCGCTCTGTTTTTCACTTTCAGTACAGTATATTATAACATGTTGAATCTCATGTTGAATACATGAGATGAATAAATATCTCATGTTGAATACATGAGATATTCAACACTTTTTTATAAAATAGGCTTTGTGCTAGATGATCTTGCCCAACTGTAGGCTGATGAACGTGTCCTGAGCACTTTAAGGTAAGCGAGGCTGAACTATGATGTTTGGTGGGTTAGGTGTATGAAATGCATATCCACCTTACAATATTTTCAGCTTGCTACAGCTTTATCGGGACACAGCCTCATCGTAAGTCAAGGAGAGTCTATTATTAAGCGGCAGAGCCCAAATTTGAAACTACACAGTCAGACTGCAGAGCCTGTGCTCTTAACCACTTAGTTGTGTGACACCTGGCAGGGTATTTAACTTCTGCACGCCCTGTTCCCTCATTTGCAAAACACAGATAAGTAGGGATGATAAGACATTCCCTTCAAAGAATTATGTTGATTAATTGAGCTAAGGCATTCACCATACTCACAGTAAGCATTCAGTAGTTTAGGTGCCCTACACATTGGAGCAGGGTTGAGGAAGGGAAAGAGTACAATCCAATGGGCTATTAATTGTTCATTGTTACTGTTGATAATAATAGTTATCATGCATTGAGAGCCAACTGAGCATAGGCCACCCTACAAGGTTAAAATTATGTCTGTTTTACAGATGAAGAAACTGAGTTTCACATAAATTATGTAAATTACCTAAAGCTATCCAGTTAATAAGTGACAGAACAGAGCTCTTGTTTAAACACTGGGCCCTTGACTCCAAAGCCTGCAGTTCCCAGCACCCCCAGGGTCACCAAAACCTGGCCTCTCCTGGGAGAGGTCAGGGCTGAGGCCAACAAGCCCAAGTCACACCCTTTACCACCTGGGACCTGATTTTCTCCAGGTGAGCAATGTTTTCTTAAAAGAACAGGAGGACAGTAAATAATTAACCAAGACAGTTTCTCCCTCCCTGAAGCCAAGGTAGAACCTCCCCACTACAGCCAACCCCCACTCTCCTCACTCCTGTTTCCTCTGTGCTCAAGTTTGTGGCCATTAAATAGAAGAGGAGAAAGTTTGAGCCAGGCATGAAATATTTATCAGTTAATTACAATATGCAGATTCTGTTCCTAGGGGTGATTTATCTTTTTGGAAATATAGGAAAAGATCCTGGAAACTTGTATCCTAATCGCTCGGCCTATTATTGTAGCAACCAGGTAGAAACTCCATTTACTATGTAACTACAAATTTTCCCACTACTGGAGGTATCTGCCTCTGCTTCTATCACTGGTGGTCTGGGGAAAATATGCTTTTCTGATAAGAGATGAGCCTCTTAGAGGTCAATTTGTCAATTCCTCTGTCTCCTCTTTGGGTGGCCTCTTTGTAAATTCTAATAGCTACAGGAAATGAAAAGGGTGAGAGTCTCTGAAATTCTGGGATCTCAAGAGAAGCTAATTCTAAGTGAAAACCTCCCCGACTGAAGCAGTGCCACTGGTGAGGGGATGTCCAAGGTTGAGAAGCAGCTCTCAGCTGAGCATCCCTCCCCTCCCTTGCTCTGGCAGAAGTGTCAGCCCTCCCCCTTATCTCTTGTATTATTTCCTAGGGCCTGCATCTCAATCTCTGGCTACACATTAGCAACCTGGGGAGTTTTAAAAATCCAGATGCCCAGGCCCTACTACAGGCCAAACAAATTGGAATCCCTGGAGGTGGGACCCAGGCATCAGTATTTTAAAAAAAACTTGTGGCTGGGTATGGTGGCTCACACCTGTAATCCCAGCACGTTGGGAGGCCGAGGCGGGTGGATTACCTGAGGTGAGGAGTTTGAGACCAGCCTGGCAAACATGGTGAAACCCCGTCTCTATTAAAAATACAAAAATTAGCTGGGCATGGTTGCAAACACCTGTAATCCCAGCTACTCGGGAGGCTGAGGAAGGGATAATTGCTTGAACCCAGGAGGCAGTGGTTGTAGTGAGCCGAGATGTGCCACTGCACTCTAGCCTGGGCGACAAGAGCAAGACACCATCTCAAAAACAAAAATGAACAAACAAAAAAACTCGCTGGGGGTTCCAATGTGCAGTGAAAGTTGAGACCCTCTAGAGCTAATAGAAGAGTATCACTGCCTGGTAAATGGGCCCTGCTTATCTGCAAGACTGTGTAATTTTTATCCCTCCCTCTCTGGTGCTGGAGGAGGCAATTCCTTCACTTTTTAGAATCTGAAGAACATCTCTCTTTCTTCACAAGAAGCTTGTAACACAATAACTACCACTTATCAAGCCCCTGCTGAATGCTTGGATCTATGCACATAAAATTCAATCTGATCTACAGAACAACTCTATAAGGTCAGTGGGTATGTCTATTTTATGGATGGCTCAGAGAGGTTAAGTAATTTGCCCAAGTTTGTACAACTAGCAAGTGTCAGATCAGGGACTTGAATCACAAACCCATGCTTTTAACCCCTGTGGTACACTGCCTCTCACTTTCTCAGGGCCAGAAGGGAAGGGCTTCAGGTCAACCATATGAAGTGCCTACGGAATGTCTTGGGGAAGGAAAGAAGAGAGAAGCAAGGAGAAGTATAGGGAAGCAGACAAGGGCTACAGATGCATAGGGCATGGAGGGCAGAATGGTGGCTGGGAAAGACTGAAGAGGGTTTGTAGGGCTAAGAGGAGGTACCTGAAGGAGGGTGTGGTAAGCCAACACGTGCATGGGAAGGGGGCAGTGGCTATGGAGATAGCTGGGGAGTGGGGGAATGGGGTCCAGGAGTGGGTGCCGGCAGTTGGAACATCCAGAACAGTGAGCAGTGCCCATCGTGGACTGGGTGGTTGGGGAGTGGGAGGGACCTCGTGTCAGAGGAGGGGTCTTTGTGAGCATGAAGTAGTGAGGAATGCTCCACCATGAATACTAAGGGCAAGAAGAGAAAGGGCCAGAGGGGAATGGGTGATGTTTAGCTGCTGGGGTGATTAATGGGGGTGAACGGAGGGTGAAACTCAAGCCCTTCCAATGAAGATGGTGGGGAATGGTTGTCCAAGAACAACAGTGCACTGTTTCAAGGAGAAAGCCAATGTCCAGGGGAGGGGTGGCTGAGAAGGACGCTAGGCACAGTTGCTCCTTCCCTTTTTTCCCAAGTTCTCTTTATTTACCACCAAACAGTAAATTAAACTATATTAGCCAGTTCCAGGGGACCCTCTGAATGGGCTTCCTACCTGTCTCGTGGCTTGGAAGAGACCAAGGAATGTTGGCGTGGCTTGGAGAAAGAGTGAGTGAGGTCTGGGCTGAAAGTTGAGATGACTCCATGGACCACCCCCTCGTGGGGCACAAAATGGTGATGTGCTGGCAAGAGCCACTGGCTCCCTCTGGACCAGACAGGCACTGAGAGATACATGGGTGTTGGGCCCTCAGGTGTCCTGTAGAAAGTGGTAGTGTTCTTAGAGCAGTTTTTAGAGCAGCCCCTTGGCCTCAGGGAGGGACACAGGGCTCCTTTTCTGTGAGAGAGAGAGAGTTGGGGGAACAAGGAGAGAGGGCTTCCCATGGCTCTGGTTTCAGGGTGTTGACCTGGGTTTGAAGAATGGAGATAAACCTTGTGGGAAATAACAGGTTTAAGCCACTCTCCCCTCATTTCCTACTTCTGTCTCTTCCTCTAGGTACAGCTGTTGGGAGCTGCTTCTCCCGCCCTCAATCTCCCTGTCTGTGGTTCCAGAGGGAAGAAGAGGGGGAAAAAAAGGATGAAGAGAACTGTTTCAGTGCTGGGGGAGGTGAGCTTATAGCAGGGATTTAGATGGGAAATACCTCATGGGATAGGAGCAGTTTTCTCCCTCTCCAGGCCTCTCACAGATGTGAAACAACTGGCAGATCTGACTTTCCCACCCCTAACCATTGGAGGGGATGATGTGTCTTGAAACCTGTGCTTCTCGATTGAGAGGCTGGTGGGGGAAGAGAGGTCAGGAAAAGGGGCCAGATGTGTGTTCAGGGGTCCCCAGGGAGTTGAGGGAGACTAGCATCTCCTTAGGGTAAGGAAGGCAAAATGCCCATTCCTGATCCCAGATTGCTTGGATACTGTGCCTGGGAGTCCTCCTACCTCACCTTAATTCCTGTCTCCACACACAGCTTGGCCAAGTTTCTTCCCCTGTTGGAGTCTCACTCCCAATCCCCTACTCTATCTCTCCAGGAGCCTACAAAGCACTTTGAAATCCAAAGTTTGTGGGAGGTGGCTCTATCGCACAAATACTCTGAGGTGCAACATGACTTGACTGGTAATGAGGCAACCATCCCACCTAGGGCAGAGTTCAAGGACTGCCTTCAAGAGGGGCTGGCCTCAGTTTGCCTGTTACAGAAACCACGGGCTAATAGAGGCTGCCCTCTGCCTCACAAAGAAGGAGATAAATGGGTCCACTGGAGAGCAATGGTCACAATCAAGTCTTAATGATGAATTAATAATTCATAATTACCCCAGACTTGCAGATAAGCACAAGCCCACTGGAATTATTTCCCAGGGAGGAACACAGTCAGAAAGTGTGAGAAGGGGACTTCAGTACAGACATTACTTCCAGAGGCCATTAAGTTCATCCCTCTGCTTCCAAACCAGAACCTGGAAGACATTCATTAGCTTCCTTGGCTGATTCCTCCTAACAGCTACCACCCCCTGAGCTTCTAAACAGTGCCATATTGCCCCTCTGTTCTTCATAAGGCCAGAGGACCATTCCTGCCAAAGTGACCTCAGAACCTGGACTCTGGATTTCTGGGGTCTCTCTGTTCTCTGCTCCCCATTCTGCTATTTACATATGAGGTCCCCTGTAGGAGGGCCTGGTGCTAGGTGTCCCGGCGAGATGTGGACATCTTTCTGGCTCTTCTCCTTCTCTTATCTAAGTCCTCACATGGTGGGGAAATACCTCTCTAATGCTATGTAGAAAGAGAAGGAGGGAGTGCCCCTTCTAGCGTGGATGCCTTTGGTTCCCAGATCTGGATTTGAGGGGCTGGCTCTATCTCTTAAGAAGACATTTACCTAGCGTTGGTAATGGAGATGGGGCCTTAATAGGGCTAGGGAGGCACACCCAACTCCAGACCCAGCTCTCTGCTGTTCCCCTTCCCAGTGCACACAATCCCAATTCCCACTCCAGAAAATTTTAAAAAAACATATCTTAAAAAAAAACCTCGAAAAGCCAAGCAGATCCTCAGTTTCAAGGTATCTCCTCATTCTCTCTCTCTCTCTCTCTGTCTCTCTGAATCTACAAAGAAGGAGTGAGTTTTGTCTCTCCAAGTACTCAGAGCCTTAGATCACAAAGGGGCCTTAGATCCTGGTCTTGGGGAGATCTTTGACCACCACCTCTGCTGTGGCACGACCATTGTCAAAATGCTAGAAAGAAGAGAGACTGGCTCTTAGACCAAGGGAATTTGGGATTTGAAAGGACTTCCATTTCCAGTTCTATAGATTTCCTTCCCATTAGCCTCTTCATGTGCATCAAATGTAAATGGCAGGCTAAACTTACAGGATGAAGAGAGTTGAAAGACTGCTGCCTAAAAATGCCCTTTTCCAAATCTGTGGGTTCAGAAGCACATTGAAAAGCAGGTACCCAGCCTGGCGGTGTGGCACATGCCTGAAGTTTCACATGCTTAAGAGGCTAAGGTGGGAGGACTACTTGAGCCCAGGAGTTTGAGGCTTCAGTGAACTATGATGGTGCCACAACACTCCAGCCTGGGAAACAGAGCTGGACCCCATTTCCAAAAAAAAAAAAAAAAGTAGTTACCCAGGTAAGGTGGATGATCAAGTACACCCAGTGAGAAGCACACAAACCTTACCCTTTACCCAAACTCTCTCCCTTACCTGTCCCATTTCCGGTCTCTAGAGGAGGATCAGTTAGGGGGTGTGACCCAAGTTACCCAGATAATTAACTGTGGAAGCACGATTTTTTTTCACTCCTTTGGCCTCTAAATATGAGAGATCTTTACATCTCTTGCCTAGCTCCCTCTTATTCTCTACCCTCTCCCCAACACGCACGCAAATCCTAACAACAAAAAATCCTAAATATAGGAAGACAAACCTTCCTGACCTACCATTTTGGCCCACCTGCAACCCCTGTCCCCCGCCCCTCCCCAATTTTTTTCTCTCCTGAGCCTCTGCTCTTCGCTTCTAAAATAAAAAAAAAGAAGAAGAAGGAATTTTCAATAGTCCAACTTGTCAAGCGAAGACCATCTTTTAACCTTCAACAGCAGCGAAAGCCATGTGAACTCTTGGTGAACCAAGATTGAAGTCATAAATCACGTGTACAAAGGCGGCTGCGGAGGCTGGCGCGGGCTGCTTCACCTTTAATGCTTTCTGGGGCTGACAGGCAGCGGCCCAGCTAAAGTTCACAGTGCCCGGGGAGGGCCCGCCTCCGCCTCACCTCCCCCAGCCTGGCCTGGGCCCATGGCCCCGGACCGGTCAGCCGCGCGGCCGCCTGAGCTGCGAGCTGAGGAGGCCCCTTGGCTGTTCCCGCAAAGGGCCGGGGGGCGCATTTTCTCTCCTGCCAGCGAGCTCCATCCTGGTCCTTCCCTCACCCCCCACCCCCACAGCCTGCTGTATGTAAATAGGGAAATAGATCTACACGGACACAATAATTTAGCTTGGTTGGTCTTTGGCATTTTCTACAAGACCCCAAGAGATGGACTTTCCTCTCCCCTTCCTCCGTTTAGAAATGGCATCCTTCATCTCTGTCTATGCAGGCCCAATTATCCAGATCCTCAGGGCTCCAATAGGGTCTGAGTCATTGGAACCAGGAACACCTGGCTGAAACATGCCACATAATTAGATTTTCTTTTTATTTACCTTTTCTTTCTTATTTTTATAAGAGGTCCGGAATTAGCCTCTTCGACTGGGGTGGAGTAGCTGGGGTGTGGGAAAGGAACACCTTCATACAACTTCCAGCTTTCAGCCCCTTGGAGAGATTTCCAATTTCCCCGAAGCCGCTAGGATTTCCTTTCCTCGATCTCTTGGCCACCTCCTCCTCCTTCTCCGATCTTTTTTTTTTCCCTCCTCCCACTGTCTTCTCTACGGTTTAATCAAAGTTCAGCGACTCCACTTGCCTCTCCTCTCATTTCTTTCGGAAAGCGGAAACCAGACGACCCAGCGGCCATGGGACGAGTCGCCCCAACTCAACCCCAACAGGACGCTGGAGGGGCCTCCCTTGCCCACCTCTCTTCGCTGGCACTGGCCTCCCGCACCCGGGTCTGCAGTCCCTCCGCCATCTCACAGGTGTGCAGCCGCTAGGCCTGGGGGATCCGAATGACTGGGGCTGGATAGGAATGCCTTCGTGTTTCCCAAGACCCCGGGGCCTGCTCCACAAAGTTTGAAGGGTGGGTACACCTCAACCCAGGCAAGTTGCTCCCCCAAACCCATGACTGACTAATCTGATATGACAAAAGCCCATGATGGATTTGGTATATGTTAATTCACAATGCCTTTTCCTCCAGAATTTAACTATAAGTTAATACACACCGGAAACCACGCGCATACACGCTCCTTAATGGGCTTAGGTATTAGCGAGTCCTAACGATGCATACAAATGTGCTCTGCGCTCTGTAGACCCCTCAAGATTTATGGGCCTTGAGCTCTCTGAAGCTGTAAACAAGGAGAAAAAAAAAAGAGAAAGTGAAAGCGACTGGGGGGAAGAGACAGAGGCCTGACTCGCCCCTCTAGGTTTTGGAGAGAAGGGATTCTTTATGTATTTTCCTTTCCTTGCAAGCTCGGTGCGTGTGCGTTTTGGCGTTGGTCTGGGGGTGGTGTTCTGCCTGAATGCTGGTGTGCGTGGGCAGTGTGTTATTTGCGTGCTGGGGTAGGATGCCTGCCTCTTCGGATTCCTGTGCAGGGGCCTGAACACAGCAGGCATTTGTGAGCATATATGCGTGAGTGTGCACTGTGTTAGGGTGTGTGGGTGTGTATGTGTGTGTGTGTGAGAGACAGACAGAGAGGGAGAGGCAGGCTTCCCCCTGGGCCAGGCTGCTGTCCCTTGAACGGTGGTGAACAAATCTCTAACGACAATCATAATAACAATAAATAATGAATAATAATAATAAAACAGTAGTTAACAGTCCCTCCATAACAGAATAACAATAAAATGCAAGAGGAAATATTTTGAGGTGGAGACAGAAGGAGTCAGGATCACAGCATCTGAGGGGGAGATAGGAAAGGAAGGGAGGAAGAAAGCTTCTTAATATGCTCTTGGCGGGGCTGGGGTTGGTAAACCCTTTCCCAGACAAGGGACGGAAGAGGGGAAGGAGAGCCAGGAGGCCACTCTTTATTGCTTTTTTTTCTCAGGCTTTTGCTTTGTGTGATCAGGGAAGGGATCCCACATATGGGAATGGTTAATGGATTTTGGGACTCTCTAGGAGCCCCTGTTTTAAGAAGGAGGCCAAATGTGCAGGCTCAGGCCAAGCGCCAGAGATGAATGGGGTGATGACCACAGCCTTGATCCGGCAGGAGCTCAGAGATGCCCGGGAAGATGGGGTGCCCGAACAGAAGCAGAAAAACACTTGTGGCCGCTGGGAAGTTGGGAGAGCCAGGCTGGGGCTCCGGCAGGCCCAGGGAAAGTTCCCTTTCTAGGCTCTTTATTAAAAAATTTAAAAGGAGGAGTTGAGGCGCCTTGAATTTTCCTTCGTGAGTTTGGAGACCAGCCGATTTTTCATGAAGCTAGCAAAGACTGCGGTCCTGGATCCTGCAACATATACCTCATTTTCTCCAGGTACAGTTTTCTGGTCATTTAATTAGTTTGTTTTCTTGAGGGAGATGGGAATCAAAGGCGTAGAAATAGTAAGTTTGCTAGAGAGGAAGCCACCCCACAGTTTCGAGTCTAACGAAATCCCTCCTTTAAAAACATTTGTACCCCCAATAAAAACAAAATTAAATAGGAATATAGAAACACAAATTAGCCAACTTTTTTAAAAGAGAAAAAAGAAAAGGAAATCATCGTAACAAATGAGCGTGAGAACTTCTAAAAAATTTGTCACGAACCCTTTCAGAGGTCTGGATTCTTTTTCAGTAGCCGGTGACCCATTTGGTCTGAAAAGAGAAATACACTATCCACTGAGTCACTTATTTAAAGCCAACACACACACATACACACACACACACACACAAACACACGCATTCAGAAAGCCCTGGGTGCACTCGTATTTGAAAACAACAGCGGGTGGAGGACGCTGTGATACCTAATTGGACAAAACAGCAATAAAATAAGACCAGTGGAAGTGCTGAGCACAGGGCGCAGGGCTAGGGCCCGGGTTTTGTGTTCCAGGCCACCGGCGAGGCAGCGGCCCCGGGCGATGGGGGGCCGGGCGGTCAGACACCGGCTGGCGACTCTGCTCAGCCTCCACAGCCCAGCCTGCAGCCCCTTTCCCCCAGCCTCTGGGCCTCGTGGGCTCTCTCCGCTCCGACGCCTGTTCGGGGCTTCCCTGTTGAGAGGGTTTTAGGCCGAAGGGCCAAACGACTCAAGCCAGACTCTACTTTTTCATTTTTCTCCCTTAGGCCTCTCCACTTGCTCGAGCTCTCAGCCACCAGGAGACAGACGGAAGGGGCTTCTGGGCTGTGTTGGGAGCGGGCACTGTCCCCTACCCACTCCTGCACAGTTTCCCAAAGTCCAGCGACCTCCGACCCTCCTTGGGGGAAAAAATACCAGTACCCAGACAACTCTGCATCCTGTTATATGACTGGGCTTGCTTCAGGAATATCTTACAAAGAAGAAGAAGAAGAAGGAAGAGGAGGAACGGCTTGGAGTCATGTTTACATCTAGTTCTACTGATCCGTTCACATCTGGAGAGTTTATTTATAACTCCCTCTATAACTCTCTGTTTGGAGGCACTGGTGGCTCTACTGACAGACTGATGTCTAGGAAATATTGCTCTATGTCTAACCGTACCTAAATGTGCTGTGGTTGTATTTACAGATTTACGTTTGAGGGAAATATAATTATTTCCATTGTATTTGTGCATATACAGTAGTTATAGGAGCAGATTTATATATGGGAAAATATACGACTCTCTTACAGCCATCCGGCTTTATGTACATTTGATATCCTGACAGATTTATATCTCTGAACAGCTATATAGATAAAAACGTATATCGTTAGAATTATGTATCAGGAGATATATACTTATTGATTGTGAAATAGAGTAGTTAGAGCATTCACTTAGAGCCATATATGGCTATGGAGATATTTCTATATTATTATCACTATATATAGGCATATCTATTTATAACTGCATAGTTATAAAAATAGACATAATTATAGTCCTATATGTGCATGCTTCAATCTCTCTCTAGAGTTATAGACACTATCAAATATAACTCTATAGAGAGATCTGTATGTATATAAGGTGTAATTATCTTGTGATGTGTTTACGTTGGGACTTAGGCCCGTCTGTCTAGAACAGACATATTTATATGTAGGTGCTGGGAGAGACTTATTCACAGATATCTGCAGAGGACCAACTGGGAACACTGTATCTGCCCTCTAGGAAACCAGCTAGGAGAGTTGTGTACTTATGGAGGGATGGAGTTACAAAAGGGTAAATAGAGCTCAGGGAGCCTTAAGGAGGGGGTGTGAATGGAGGGTGGGTGGGCTCAGTTTGAACAGATAGTGGGAGGAAAGGGGTAAACACCAGCACCCACCAGAAGGTGAGAACCAGTTTTGTGAGGGGCTGGTGCAGACAACTGTGGACAAGGAGCTTGTAAAATGAGAAGCGGCTAACAGTCCTGCCACATCACCCTGAGACTCTCCACCGAGGAAGCAGCCTTTAGTTTGGCTTTTAGTGCACTGTAGGATACGGACTGTCGTGTCACTCCTGTAGTCCTACAGCGTTTCTCTTGAACCCTAATTTTTAGGTCTCAAACAGCGGGCTTCAGAGATAAAGAGGTTTAGGCAGGGGCAGGGCGAGGAGCATGGGGTGTACTTTCGCTTTCCAATAAGTGAGGTAATCCAGGAAAGTGAGTTAATTTGGCCAAATAAAGCTTGTTTTTATGTGGGCCTCCTGTGCCCTGGTGGGGTTGTAGGATGGGACCAGAATCTGGTGGACTGAGGAGTGAATTTCCAAGTATTGGGCCTGCTCTGATGGGGGCTTGGAGAGGTAGTCCTCCCCACCCGCCCTCCTTCTCTGAGGCCTCAGTGGCTTAATTCCCTCTGGGCACAGAGGGACTCCTTCAGCTCCCTAACAGTGCTGCCCTGGGTCTTTTCAGGGAGAATTTGACTTTAGGAACAGGGAACATGGACTTACCCCACTAGATCTCACTTCTCCCACTCACAGCTACACCACTCTTATGTCAGCCTCCTTCCAGGTGCCACTCGGCCAGGGGTCCACAGTTCTTCCCATGCTACCAACCAGCCCAGTGGGGAAATACCTCCCATGACTGCCAGTTTTTCTGTTTGTGTGTGTGTGTGTGTGTGTGTGTTTTAACCAGGGAGTTACAGATAACTTCGTTAACTGCGTGAAGGAATTGTCCTGAACTCAGTCTCTGTGGCCAACCTAGCCTCCAGGATCTCTAGGATGCTAGGACGGGAGTGGAGACCCTTGGACCAGGCTAACCACCATGTGCCATCCTCCACACACCCCTGCCCACAGGACTAGGAATTC